>NC_000020.11:4763304-4914819 GCF_000001405.40 Homo sapiens
CCTCGAATTCCCAGGCTCAAGCAATACTCCCACCCCAGCCTCTTGAGTAGCTGATACTACAGGCAGGCTCCACCGCTCCCAGCTTACTAGACTGTGTAACGGGTCATTTTCTGTACTAGCTTGTTGTGGTTACAAACCAGCCAAATGGCTTACGTTTGTATTTATTTTCTATTCCATACGTCTCCGCCCAATGTTTTTCCTCTCAAAATCCCTTCCTTTAAAAAATAAATCTGTTGCAGATGTGGGGAAAAAAAAAAAAAGAGCCAGAAGAAAAGGGACAAAGCCGAGTGCTATCAGCAGGAAGGGCATTGCCCAGCCACTGGCCTGAATTCTGTGAATACCCCCACCTCGGGGTCCACAGGATGGGCCTAAGGAGGTCTGGCATTCCAGGGAACAGACACCTGGTTGGTCCACACAGGGAAAACTAGGGGTTTCTGTAATGTCAGCAGGTGGCTGAAAACTCCAGAGTGCCTGCAAAATGCTTTCCCTCATACTTTCTATCTGGCAGGTACCTTGGAGTTGACAGCCATGTGCTCAGAGGAGAATGAAGCAAACCAACCAAAAGCCAACCCCAAACACCCAATGGCCTGAGCTCCTCAGAGCAAGAAAAGTCAAGTTGAATATCTCAGATGGGGCCGTCAGAGAATGGAGATGACCTCATCCACAGTGGGACAAGTTGGAGCAAATCACTTGGATGGAAAGCAAGGAAATAGAGGGGCAATTTCAGCATGTCCCTCAGGCTTCCACAGAGGAAGGTTTGGCCTTCCAAATTCCCAAAGGGCTTCTCTCCTGGGACGCACTGTCTCTGCAGAGGTGAAAACACTCTTTCTTGTCTCTCTCTGCCTGGGATCTTAATTGTTTCCAGTGTCAAATGAAGGACTGAGGAAAGAACCAAAGCTTCCCCAGTTCACTAACTGCTCTGGGATTTACCCAGAATTTTGACAGCATTGAGATTTGGAGTTGGCTTAGAAGAAGAGAAGAAGGGAAGTGGAGGTGCTGAGAGCTGGTCTGGAGTTAGCCCTGCTTCAGCCACATTCACTTCCCTTTGTCTCTCATGACCGGGCAATGCAGTAGGCTTCCCATGTTGTGTATCTTCTTGTCTATTAAACAGGGTTATCCAGCTGATTGAGGGCATTTCTTTTTTTTTTTTTTTTTTCCAACCTCACTTTTTCCAAACTAGTTTAGATCTTCCAGAGTGTGGTAGGCTGAAAAATGTCCCCCAAAAATATCAGGTCCTAATCCCTGAAACCTATGAATATTGTCTTATATGGGAAAAGGGTCTTTGCAAATTGGGTTAAGTCAAGGATCTTGAGAGAGGGAGGTTATTTTGGATTATTAATATTTAGGTGGACCTTAAATAAATTCCAAGAATGTCATCTGGAGTGGAGGAAAAAGGTATTTCTTTTTAGGATGTCCAGGAAATTAAAAGATGATGAAATGCCAAAACAAGTTCACAAAAGTGCAGAATAGTTTAAATATTGACATCTAATATCCACTCACCATGTCTGTGCACATATGCCTCTAATGGCCATCAACTGTGTCCCTTGGCCTTCAGGCTTTTTTGGTCACCAGAGCCTGCTCTGCTTGTGTACACTGCAGATGTCTCAGGGAATTAATGCCTCTCTGGCCCCCAAGAGCAGCCTTCAACCAATGCCTAACGGAAGTTGGTATATAAATACCCCAACTCCCTCACCCCTAGGTGGAGAAACTCTGGGGTACCTTCTACACTGGCTCCTAGAGGTCTCCACTGGGACTGAACTCCAGTTGCCCACCATCAGAACTTATTTAATGACACACCCAAATAAGCTTCCTTCCCCTCCTATTAGACTTCCCCACTCCACTTCCACTGTTTTCTAGAATCAAGTCCCAAATAAACTACTAGCCCTCAAATCCTATTTTTGTTTGTTTGTTGTGTTTTTTGTTTTTTGAAATGGAGTCTTGCTCTCTTGCCCAGGCTGGAGTGCAATGGCACCATCTCAGCTCACTGCAACCTCCGCCTCCCAGGTTCAAGCGATTCTCCTGCCTCAGCCTCCTGAGTAGCTGGGACTACAGGCGCGCACCACCACTCCCGGCTAATCTTTATATTTTTAGTAGAGATGGTGTTTCATCATATTGGCCAGGCTGGTGTCAAACTCCTGACCTTGTGATCCGCCCGCCTCAGCCTCCCAAAGTTTTGGGATTACAGGCGTGAGCCACCGCGCCTGGCCCAATTCCTGGCCTTAATGTCTGCTTCTGAAGGAGCCCAAGCTAAGACCCTATTGCATCTCATTTAGTGAGAATGTCAAAAGCATGTATTAAAGGCCCTTCATGAATTTGATCCTGAGTCAAATGGCCCTCCTGGCCCTCTCATATCAGGAGGCAACTGGGGCAGAGTTGGAAAGCTGACCCAAGCCATGGTGTAGTTTCAGTGGCTTGAAGGTGATGGAATGCATAGCCATGTGTGCGAAAATGACCACATGGGCCTGTGGGACAATTGTGCAGCCAAATGCCTGCCAGACCTTGAGGCAGGTGTGCTCCCCTGCTGGGACTTCAGGAGAGAGGCCCTGCTGCCTCCGCACCTTCCAGGCCCCGGGGACATCCAGGGTGTTCTGCTGAGGTGGAAGGGTTGTGCCCTATCAGCCAAGGGCATGCACCTCACCTGCAGTGGCTGGAATGATGGAGATGCAGGAGTAATGAACTTTATCTCAGGGAGGGGGCAAACCTAGGTTCCACAACTAGTATCTGCCCCAAATGTCAAGCCCCAAGCCAAACCCCTGTGACTAAAGAAACCTTCAACAAATCTTGTAAGGCCAGCAGCTCCCCTCCATTTGTTTTTGGGTGGGGAAACACATGTGTTTTCTTCTGTAATCTTCTAAACATATAGACTTCTAAAGTCTTAATAATTTTTTTTTTTTTTTTTTGCGACAGAGTCTCACTCTGTTGCCCAGGCTGGAGTGCAGTGGCACGGTCTTGGCTCACTGCAACCTCTGCCTCCTGGGTTCAAGCGATTCCCCTGCCTCAGCCTCCTGAGTAGCTGGGACTACAGGCATGTGCCACCGTGCCTGGCTAATTTTTGTATTTTTAGTAAAGACGGGGTTTTGCTGTGTTGGCCAGGCTGGTCGCAAACTCCTAACCTCAAGGGATCCGCCTGCCTCAGCCTCCCAAACTGCTGGGATTACAGGCATGAGCCACCGCGCCTGGCCTAAAGTCTTAATAATCTCAAACTATAGAGCAAAAGGATATAGGCATGGCCTGGGGGACCAGTTTAACTTTAGTTAGACTGAGTTAACTAGAGTAGAGATAACCAAGTGGTGGCCTACAAGCCAATACAAGTGACAATCTTTTCCTGTCTACCACAGTTTTTAAAAACCAGAGATTCTGATAATAATCTGGGTTTCTGGGTTTCTGGATTTTCTTGAAAAATCAGGAATTCCTGAATCCCATGGAACTTTCACTTCTACAGGGCAGCATTGCCTGAGAAGTCAGAATTTGCAATCCTGCTAGTAGCAGAAAGTCAGTCCAAAAGAGGAAGGTGTGGTTTGCAGGAAAGAGGAAATAAAGATGGAGAGAGTGTGTGTGTGTGCTACATGAACCCCAGGAGATGACGAAGACAGACCCCTGCTGACAACCAGCACCAGGCTGAGAGTCACCCCGGAGACAGGTCCTCAAGGAGATACAATGGATAGAATGCTGGGGGAGACTGAACATATGAAAGGTTTAGAGAATTTGGGACAAATATGGGCTGAATTCATGAAAAATACATTGAAAACCTAAGCAAACAGAAGGACAATTTTTAACTTCAAGGAAAACAAAAAGTTGTGCTAAAAATGGAAAAATAAGCCAAATACAGTATACATTCAGCTTTAGAGAGCATGTTTATACAATTATACAACATAAAGGCAGATGTGCGCTAACCAAAAATTATGATTGGCAGGACGGAGACCCAAGAATTGGGGAGGGAGGTAGAGAAAGATAAGGCCCCAGATGAGCAAATCAGGAAGAGAAACACCAACATGCTACTTACAGATAAGATGGCAAGTACCAAAGAATCAGCTAGAAGAATTGAAGGCCGTGGGAAGGAAGGGGAGGTAGAGCATGGTAGGAGCAAAAGAGAGCTGGTTTTGTTTGACTTTCTTAACCATGTGCATGTCTATCATTGAAGAAAAGACAAACTGTGTTTTGAAAAAAGTTAATTGATCACAAGTAAAGCCGCCACCCCCAGCCCCCATCCTTGCCTCACGATAACCCTTAACAATTATATCCTTCCAACGGTTTATATATATATATATAAAGACCGTTGGGGTTTAGAGTCATTTAAAGCAAATCTGAAGTTTTAAGGGTCCTTAAGGAGGTATAAGGCTTAAGATCTGGCCGGGTGCAGTGGTTTACGCCTGTAATCCCAGCACTTTGGGAGGCCAAGGTGGGTGGATCACCTGAGGTCAGGAGTTCAAGACCAGCCTGGCCAACATGGTGAAACCCCATCTGTACTAAAAACACAAAAAATTAGCCAAGCATGGTGGCAGACAACTGTAATCCCAGCTACTCAGGAGGCTGAGGCAGGAGAATCATTTGAACCTGGGAGGCAGACATTGCAGTAAGCCGAGATCACAGCATTGTACTCCAGCCTGGGCAATAAGAGCGAAACTCCATCTTAAAAAAAAAAAAAAAAAAAAAAGGCTTAAGATCTCTTAGAGTCTATTGAGATCTATGTATCTATTAATATATGTAAGGATTTTATATATATACAAAGATCAACTTTTGTGTGTGTATGATACATAAATAGTATCATCATGTATGTATCTTTCACCAACTATTTTCACTTAACATTACGTCTTGGCATCTACTTTCAGCTAGTAGAATTGGTGGGGTGACAGGTCTGTAGGCTTTAATATCCTTCCTCTACAAATTCTGAATGAAGAAATTATTACACAGACCCATCTTTATTACCAGGACTTGAATCTCATTTATATAGTCCATTGAAACTAAAATGTTATCTTTCAATATGTCCCCCCAAAAAAGACAGTATTCTGGATCTTGAATTTTCTGGGAGATGCATTTTTGGAGCATCCTTCTTGAGGGGATAAAGCAGTTTAAGTCATTGTCCCTGAGCATAATTCATTTATAATATCCCACATGAATTCTTGTCCTTTAAGTAGCTACTCCTGGGACTTTGCCCCCCTCTTTTTCAACATGCTTAATGTCACACTGGCCTGAAGAGCAACTTTACTGCTGCAGGGGTAACTTATATTTCATCTCATAAAGCACCAAATCTGCATTATTTTTTACCTCAATTCCGGATGAATTTTGGTGATTAAAATGAGAAAAACATGGCTCGTGGTCCTCAAGTGGATTTTTGGATCCCGGTTCAAAAGTGGAATAAATCTATTTTAGAAATGTGAGTTCATATTACTTTATAATAACATCCTCAGGTGATGGGCATGCACGTGGGCCCAGGGTAGGGAGTGCCGTGGTGAAGAGTCTGATGATGTCCATCAGGAGTTTCAGAGTTAGCCTCACAGTTCAGTATCTTTTTTTTTTTTTTTGAGATGGAGTCTTGCTCTGTCGCCCAGGCTGGAGTGCAGTGGCACAATCTCAGCTCACTGCAAGCTCCGCCTCCCGGGTTCACGCCATTCTCCTGCCTCAGCCTCCCAAGTAGCTGGGACTACAGGCACCCACCACCATGCCCGGCTAATTTTTTGTATTTTTAGTAGAGACGGGGTTTCACTGTGTTAGTCAGGATGGTCTTGATCTCCTGACCTTGTGATCCGCCCACTTCAGCCTCCCAAAGTGCTAGGATTACAGGCATGAGCCACCGCGCCCAGCCACAGTTGAGTATCTTAATAATGTTTTATCATTATTTAGGGTTTAGGGTTTAAGATTGGAGTTATTAGAGTTTAGAGCCCTTGGGATCATAGTCAAAGTTACATTTGGGAACAAGAAAGTCTCAGCGTAGTCTCTGTCACTCTTCTTGTATCATTGGGATTATTAGGGTGAAGGTATCTGATCATTAAGAAGAGAGATGTAGGGTTCGGATTCTGGTCACGATGTATGTGGATCTGCTCCAACTTCTTCACAGAGTTTAGAGCTCAGGATCATTTGTTTGTGGTAATTAGGCCTTTAGGGTTGTCATTGTCAAGGGGTTCAGGGTCAAACATCCATTAATTTATCATCATTTGGAATTTGGGGTCTTCTGTTGCAACACCAACAGGATCCCTAAATCAAGGTTAAAGTCCAAGTATACAAACAGAGCTCTGGTCTTTGGGTAACAGATGAGTCATTGAGGTATGGAATAATGAGGGTCAGGACAGGTCACTGACGAGGTGTCTGCTCCATTGCCTGTTAGGGTTTAGGATTGTTGAGTCCTTAATGTCCAGGGCGTTGGAGTTAGCATTAATGTTGTTGAGGCTGAGAAGGTTGGGTTCATTAGACTTGGGTTCCTTTGCAACTATTTAAGGCCACTTTGGGTTTAGGATAATTTTGGATCAATTAGAATAGTTTAGAATAATTTGGGTATTTTAGGTGCAATTATGATTTCTTGGATCTTTTAGAGTCTTTTGGACTGTTGGGGTGTAGAGTCATTTCCAGCAAGTTTAAATTTTTAAGGGCCCTTAGGGAGGTATAAGGCTTAAGATCTCTTAGAGTCTATCGAGATACTTAGGGTCATTTAGAGTTGTTTGGGTTAGTTTAGGGTCATGTGAGATAATCTGGGGCTTAAGGTTTTAAGCATCATTTAAGAAACTTTAGCATGTTTAGAGTTGTTTAGGATTTAGGATTGTCTGGGATCTCTGAGGGTGTTTTAGAATTTAGGGTAGTTTTAATTGACTTAGGATCCTTTGGGTTTATATAGCTTCTAGCTTTGCTATTCCAAGTGTGGCCTGTGGATCAGCAGCATCCACATCCCCTGGGAGTTGGTAGGAAGGCAGTGTCTCAAACCGCACCCTAGGTCTGCTAAATCTGAGTCAATGTTCTAACAAGATCCTCTCCAGAATCACAAAACTTGCATATTCAAGTTCTGTGGTAGTTTACAGGCATCTGAGGCCACTTCTAGGTATTAGGTCTCTAAGGTTGTTAGATACATTACCATAGGGTCATTTAAATGATTGGATTCTTTAGTGTGCTTAGACTCTAAAGAATATCCTGAAATTATTCATTCAGGATATTTTATGCATTTAGAGTTAGGATTGTTTAGGGTTCAAATGTCTTGAAAGTCTTACAGAGATTTTTAAGGTTTAGGTTCTATTTTGATTGCTTAGAGCTTTTTAGGGGTGGTTTATGTCACTTGGCACCATTTATAGTCATGGAAGATTATTTAGCATTTAAAGTTGTTTTGAGTAATTTATACCTCTTCAGAATCTCTAAGAGCGTCTGAAGTCTTATACCACTTTGGGTAGTTTAGGATCACAAAGGATTTAGGACCATTTGAGGTGATTTCGATAGCATGGGATCATGTAAGTTCATTTTAAGAAGGATTACACTTGTTAGTGAGTTTGGGTCAGGACTTAGAGGCTGTTAGCATTGGCACACTTGGTGTTTGAGGTCTTCATGTTTATGGTACATTTGGATATTTATTCGTTCACTACACAAATATTATCAAGGTGTTGTAAATCAAAGAAAATGACCGAGATGGGTCTCAATCATTTTAAGAGGTTTATTTGTCAAGGTTAAGGACACAACCAGGAAAAGAACACAGAAGCTCAGGAAAAATCTGTGGTCCTTTGCTTTTTCCAAAGGGCATCTGGAGACCTCAATATTTAAAGGGGAAAAAAGCAACTATTGCGGGAAAAAGGAAGGAACTTTACAAAAGGGTGGGCAATGAGAAAGGCAAGCAGTTGCATTCTTTTGAGTCTTCTTCTATCAGCGTTCACTGAATACACATTATACATGCAAGAAAAGGGTAGAGGAATAGTCACTTATGCATTCGTCTGATGCTCAGTGAATCAGCATTTTTACATAAGGTAAAATAAACTTAGGGCAGAGGAAGCAGTCAGGTGGACAGAGAGATGACTTTTACTTCTGTCCTTTGTCCTATCCGTGTGAAGGTCAGGGTGAAATTCAATAGAACTCTTTTAAGGTAAAGATCTTGGGACCCACGAGGAATTTCCTTGTGGGCACATTGTGAGGGAAGTATGTAGCTCTTTTTATCTTTGCAGCTATCTTTTTCTGAACAAAATGGGAAGCAGGTTTGCATGACCCATTTCCTAACTTGACTTTTCCCTTTGCCTTAGTGAGTTGGGGGTCCTGAGGTTTATTTTCCTTTCACAGTGTCTACCAAGAATCAGGTGCTGCTCTAGGTGGTTGGGATGCCTTCACAGAGCTTAGGTTCTAGTGGAGGAGATACATAAGTCAACGAATACATTCAGACTGAAAAAAAGCACTTAGAAGAGTGTGGAAGCAGAGGATAGCTGGCAGGAGAGCAGCTGATTTGGGTGTTCGGGGAAGGCCTTGCTAGGAAGGAAGAGTTGAGCTGAGACCTGAATCAAAAAGGAGGCAAGCATGTGATGAGCTTGGGTGAAGAGTATCCCAAAAAGACCAAGTGGCAAGTGCAAGTCCCAGAAGCAGGACAGGTCTGGACATGCTTGAAGAGCAGCAAGGCCAGTGTAGCTGATCCCAAGAGGAGGCCTGAGGAAGACCATGTAGGTCTGAAACTGACCCAGTTGTCCCATAGAGCTGATGTTTATGGTTTCTTTGAATAAACAGAGAAATTGATCCTCCCAGTCTTAAAACCTGAGAAAATGACACTTGTCTTATCTGAGTTCCTTTCTCAGGAAACCAGCTATCAGGCCTTCTAGATAGCATCAAGGATCTGACACTCACCAGATCATTGTATCTAGACAATGAGAGGCAAAACCCCCTTACCCATCATGATTGTCTAAGCAACCACCTGCTTCCCGTTAATCAACTCTTCTTGCTTACCCCTTGCTAATTCCTGTTTTCCCACACATGGTTACATTTATTTCCTGCTATATAAACTCCTAATTTTAGTTGCTCAGGGAGATGGATTTGAGACTGATCTTCCGTCTTCTTAGCTGCAGCACCTGATGAAAGCCTTCTTCCTTGGCAAGGCTCATTGTCTCAGTGATTGGTTTTCTGGGAGGCGAGCAGTAGGACATAGACTGAACCCCTGGTTGGTTCAGTAGCAGGTCCAGGTAGGCTAGATAAGGACTTGGGATTTTTTTTAAAAAAAAGGTTTACAGTCATTTAGGTCACTGAATATCATTTGGGTTCTTTGATTTTAAAGTTGGCTCATTCAAGGTTTAGGAACCTCTAGGGATGTTAGGAGCCACCAAAGATCATTTAGAATATTTTTGGCTATTTAGGATCTTTTACTATTATTTATGATTTTTGAAATTCATTTGGGATGATTTAGGGTTATTGTTGTTAAGGATTTGGTTTTAAAGTTTTTAGGTTTACAGTTGGTAGGAATGTGGCTGGTCATGTAGCATTTGCTGTCATTTAGACCTTTTTATTATATCTTGACTTCATTAAGGTTATTTAGGACCTTTTTCAATTATTACAGCATTTAAATTTTTTTCTAGAGTTTATGGTCACTAAAAGTTATTTAGCTTCTTTTAGGGTCCTCTGGGATCATCTAGGGTTGATTAATAGCGTTTAGGAATCTTAGTGTCATTTTATTGTTGTCATTTTAATTGTCTATCACCTTTAAATGTTTTACAGGGGATTGTGTTTCATTGTTAAGGATTGTTTAGATTCATTTAGGATCTTTTAAGGTTGGTAAAGTGGTCCTCAAATTCAGTGCATACAGGAGTCGGAGAGGAGGTTTGTGTATTAGTCCATTTTCACGCTGCTGATGAAGACATAACCGAGACTGGACAATTTACAAAAGAAAGAGGTTTAATTGGACTTACAGTTCCATGTAGCTGGGGAAGCCTCACAATCATGGTGGAAGGCAAGGTGGAGCAAGCCAAGTCTTACATGGATGGCAGCAGGCAAAGAGAGCTTGTGCAGGGGAGCTCCTCTTTTTAAAACCATCAGATTTCATGAGACATTCAGTATCATGAGAATAGCTTGGGAAAGACTTGCCCCCATGATTCAATTACCCGCCCCTCCACACCAGGTCACTCTCATAACACGTTAGGATTCAAGATGAGATTTGGGGGGGGACACAGCCAAACCATATCAGTTAGTAAGAAAGAGGCAATATTAAAAATTCTGCTGCCAATGCCACAGCCCAGAAGAATTGAACCACAATCTCTTGGTATGGAATATAGACATCAGTGTTCTAAAAAAACTCCCCAGGTGATTGCAGTGTTCCCCTTAGGCTCATTTAGAACAGTTAGTGCACCAGAAACATCAGCATCACCTGAGAACTTTATATTAGAGATGCAGATTCTCTGCCCTACTCCATCTGCTGAATCAGGAACTCTGGGGTTGGGGCCCAGCAGTCTGCGTTTTCACAGGAACCCTGGGTGATTCTGATGCTTCTTAGAGGTCAACCCCACTAGCATGACGTTTACAGGGATCTTCAGGATCCTTGAGGTTTTTTAGGGTGGGGGAATTCTAAGGGCATTTTAAGAACCTTAGAGTCATTTGGGTTATTTTAGGGTTGTTTATTGTCAACTTAGTGTGTGTATCCTGAGAAGGTACCAGTAGGCACCTGAGTGAACTATTTTTAAATTCAGTTTATTTGATAGTCATCTGAGTCAGCCCAGAAATCATGCTCACTGCCAGTGTCCTGGCCTCTATGGGAACGAAAGGCAGAGCAGCTCCTGAGCTCCTGGCTCAGGCCTCAGGCGCATGGGGTGGGCGGGGTGGGCTGGGGGAGCAGGAGTGTCCCATGTGCCCAGGCGGGACAAGGCACACATTTATCCAGAAGACACCAAGCAAAGGGCTTGGTTTGTGAATCAGGCACTGCATCTGGTACCCAATTCCTAATCAAGAGAACTTCAGAATATAAGAAACTGAAAGTAGAACTGTCTAACAGCACATTCTGGCTAACTTCAGGTTTCCAGGATTTATGGTGTGTATTTTTCTCTCCTTTTGAAAACTTTTGCATGTCCAGTTTCTGAAAGGAGAATTGAGAGTACAGATTGAAAATGTGTTTGGTGTCCAGGGTGACTGACTCTAAACACAGGGAATTTCCCAATTCCTCACATGAGGTCTCTAACCTCAGGCTCCCGCGTACTCGAGATGGCATGGCATGGTGACTGGTTTCCTCAAAGGCCTTGGAACTATTGACGCCATCCTTCCATTTTGCCTGTGTATTACATATGTGTGTATTTACATTACATATATATATGATTTTTGGTATATGGGACTGCATTTCCATTGCATAATGGGCCTCTTATTCTTCTAGGAATTCTGAAGTCTAGTGCTTAGAAAAACTGACCCTACCAGGGACACAAAGGCCTGACTGGCTTTAATCTTCTGGCCATTGTTGTTTTGTTGTTGTTGTTTTGTTTTGTTTTGTATGTGTTTATACGTTTTTGGATTCTCAATATTTTTGGAGTTACTAAGCAGGAAATTTTAATTTTAAAGCCAGTGTAATAGAAGCAGTAAGAAAATCTAATAGCACCACCCCAACATAACTTTTTTCATAAGCCTTTACATGTAGGCCTGCAATCATATTGAACATACTATTTTATTTACTTTACATAACAATATTTTCCATGTTTCTACATAAACTATTATGTAATTTCATTCTGAGTCTCACTCTGTCGCCCAGGCTGGAGTGCAGTGGCACAATCTTGGCTCACTGCAGCCTCCACCTCCCAGTTCAAGTGATTCTCCCGCTTCAGCCTCTTGAGTAGCTGGGATTACAGGCGCCCACCACCACGCCTGGCTAATTTTTGTATTTTTGGTAGAGACAGGGTTTCGCCAAGTCGGCCAGGCTGGTCTCAAACTCCTGACCTCAGGTGATCTGCCCGACTCGGCCTCCCAAAGTGCTAGGATTACAGGTGTGAGCCACCACGCCCAGCCTTCTACATAAACTTGATAATTACACTTCCAGTAGCAGAATAATATTCATGCTTACGGTTTTTATTTTACCTATACCATTATCACAAAGAAGGAGGAAAGCAAGGAAAAAAATGTACTTGGCTTTTTATTGGGATTACTTGAATGTTTAGATAATTTGGGGGAGATCTGTTAAATTTTCAATCCGTAAATGAGGTATATCTTCCCATTTTTTAATTTTATTTTTTAATCTTTTATTAGATTATACACCTAGAAATACATAGAAATACATTTTTATGTATCTTCCTTGTTTTAGCAACCTTGCAAAATTCATTTTATATTTCTAATAATTTATCTCTAGATTATTATGACCAACTTGAATTCAACTTTTATTTGTTGGTTTCTTTTAGTGGGTCATAGATGTCATAGTTCGCTTTTTTGCTTAGTGATTTTTGTGACAACTTGTGTTATAGTTAATATTTGGCTAAGGAACTTTAACGATTGAAGTTGAACACTACATTACGAAACGGGAACGGTTCCCTTTTCCCTCTCGCAGGGCGTGAGATAGGGACTGTGGCTCGCTTCTTCAGTGCCCTGCGGCTCAAACCTCTGAGGGACCATACAGACGGGCAGGCTGTGGGGCTCCGACCCCACACCAGTGTCCAGAGGGTGAATGTTTGCAGCTCCTAAGCCCCAGCGGGCATGTGTTACAGGGTGCTCTTTTAGTTTCGCCGTCCATAAGCCGCTTGTGTTAAGCAGCTCAATTAGACCCTCTACCTTGTCGCAAGGACAGAGGGCTTTCTGTATCCCGGTGTTCTTGCCTTGTGTACCGGAAAAATCGCATCACGGGTGAGCTTGGAGAATGAGTGCAAGGCTTTATTGAGTGGAAGTAGCTTTCAGCAGATGGGGGGAGGGGTGCCAGAAGGGAGATGATTTTCACCTGGAGTCAGGCCACTCGACCCCACGGGCTCTCCTCCAACTGCCCCAGCCAAACTCCATGCCCTTCTGCCAGTTCATGGCCTGCCAGCGTGCCAGTGCCCGCCGATGTGCTCCTCCCCACGTCCAGCCCCCAAGTGTTCCTCCGCTGACGTGCTCCTCTCGACTTTCAGCCGCTTCTGTCCCTGCCTTGCTAGGGTCTCGGGTTTTTATAGGCATAGGATGGGAGCATGAGAGGCCAGGGTGGTCTTGGGAAATGCAACATTTGGACAGCAAAGCAAAAATGCCTGTCCTCACCTAGGTCCGTGGGGGTAGAGCCCTAGCTAGGGACCACGCCCTCCTCTACCCAGCACTTCACTTCCCCACTTCTGTATCATTTAAAGGGACCATGCTCTTCCCTTCCCAGCACGTCTGTATCAATTAAGATCTTTCCTTGGGATCATTTTGGAATCAAGGCTCTTTGTAGTCCCAGACATTCAATATCCACAATGTGTGGGAGTTCTAAGTAGTTTGTTCCCAAAATTATACCCTAGACATCTCTGAGACATAATTACTTTCCATCAGCAAGACATACCCATGCTGTCATGTTCCATCTGTCCCAGTGTTTGGCACCAACTACCTTCTCAGAACCCCTGGGTTGTCCCAGGGAAGGATGTTGTAAGATACCCCACTCTCGGTGCTGTTGACCCCATAGATGGCTCTGCAGGTGAGGGTAGGTGGCATCAAGGGCAGCTTAGAGGGGCTTAGTGACTAGCAGGGGACATTCAAAGTCATGAATTATTGAGTTGTGGAAATTCCTTATGTATTTTGAACGTTAACCCCTTATCAGATACATGGTTTGCAAATATTTTCTTCCATTCTACAGGTTGTCTTTTCATTTCATTGTTTCCTTTGCTGTGCAGAAGCTTTTTAGTTTGATGTAGTCCCACTTGTTTATTTTTGCCCTTTTTTTTCTTTGAGATAGTGTATCTCTCTGTCACGCAGACTGGAGTGCATGTGATTTTGGCCCACCGCAACCGCAGCCTTCTGGGCTCAAGCGATCCTCCTACCTCAGCCTCCCGAGTAACCGGGACTACAGGTGCATGCCACCATGCCCAGCTAATTTTGGGGGGTATATTTTGTAGAGATGGGGTTTTGCCGTGTTGCCCAGGATGGTCTCAAACTCCTGTGCTCGAGCAATCCACCCACCTTACCCTTTCAAAATGCTAGGATTACAGGCATGAGCCATCACACCTGGCCTGTTTTTGCTTTTGTTGCCTGTGCTTTTTGTGTCATATCCTAAAAATCAGAGAACAAATGTTCAGTAACAAGGTAAGTTCTAGGGATCTAATATACAGTGCTGTGACTATAGTTAATAGTACTGTATTGTTTACTTGTAATTCACTAAGAAAGTAGATCTTTGACATTTTGGGCTGGATGAAGAAAAAAACAGTAGATCTGAAGTGTCCTGACATCACACACACATACACACACACACACACACACACACAATGGCAACTGTGTGATGATGGACGTGTTAATGTGATGTGGTAATCGTTTCACAATGTATATGCGAAATGTGTATGTACAACAATCATCAGGTTGTACACCTTGAATATATGTCATTTTTATTTGCCAGTTATGCCACAATAAAACTGAAAAATAAATACTTTTTAAATTAAAAAATAATAATATTCATGTTTATGGCTTATGAATTAGTAAGTCCAAGCTTAAAACTCCAATTAGAAAAATGTATCTTGCTCTAATGCAAGAACAATTAAATCGGGGTTAATAAAACACTGATACACAAAAATCCATATTATATTCTGCATTATGTCAAAACACATGTTTAGATTTCAGTTTTTCCTAAAGTTTAAACTTAACACTTAAATTCCAACTTATGGCTGCTGCTTAAAAACTTCTCATCAAAATTATGATAAGCTGCTCTTTGGCCAACTCATAGGGTGATCATATTTATCATCCATACTGGATCATTTTGAGAGTAAAAGGGGATGCTGTTAATAATTACATATAACCACAGAATAAAGTGGAAGTGTCCCAAGCAATCCAGGACTTATGGTCTCTGCCAGTGGGCCTACCTACCATTTTAAAACTTCTAAAGTTAACTTATACACTTATAAAGCATATACTTATAATTTATCACTTATATAAAGTTAACTTACTTATATAACATATACTGAAACTGTAAGTCACAATTTCTTTTTTGCATTATTTCTTCTTTTCTTCTTTCTGCCCCCATATGATCCGCAGAAAATTTTGCATGGTTTTAAACTAAAAATAGCAATGTTAATTTTACTCAAGTTCAGTTTTCAGCAGTGTTTTCTTGCATTTAAACATTTCAGCAACCTATTCAAATGTCTTCAAAACTTGACAGTGAAGTCTTGTACTCACAGCAAACTCCATTCAGTCATAGCCTCATTACCTAAAATAGATAATACCAAATTACTTCATAAAATCTGTTTCTATAAAACAAGCCAAGAACTGCCAGCACCTTTGGCAGAAGGCTATTAGAATTTTTTGGTTATTTTAGGCACTGTAACTCCTACAAGGCTTACTGCATTTTGGGGGGTCGTGGTTGGACTCCAGATGAACCATTTATCTTCAGTGTATATCACCTGCATCTACATGATGCACTGTACAAAAGTCTCACTACCTTGGAAGGGTTAACTGCTCATCTGTTTCACCCAACTTAAAAGCGGCAACTGAAAAGCTCTCTTTGAATTAAAAACTCTAAATATGGGAAATCGAAACAACACTCCAAGGGAACTGTGATTTATCCACACTTTCTTTCTGTCTCTCTCTCCCTCCTTCCCCATCTCTCTCTCTCTTTCATACTTATATATGCATTGTTTACAGAAGCATCATTAAAAATCTGGTCTTGGTTGTTACCTTCTTCTAGAGGCCAAATTATAATGGTCACTATTTCTGCTCCATGGCCAGGTTTCTTAGGAAGACAACCGTCAAATCTCATATTAAACTTTATGAACAAATGAAATTATTTCTGTGTATTAGTCAGGGTTCTCCAAAGATTGTGCGTGTGTGTGTGTGTGTGTGTGTGTGTGTGTGTGTGTGTGTGTAGAGAGAGAGAGAGAGGTGTGGGTGTGGGGAGACAGAGCTTAAGGAATTGGTTCACATAATTGATCCTGTAGTTCAAGTCCAAAGGCAGTCTTGAGGCAGAATTCCTTCTTCTCTGGGATCTCAGTCTTCGTTCTTAAGGCCTTCAACTGATTGGGTGAGGCCCACCCACATTATGGAGGGCAGACTGCTCAAAGTCCACTGATTTAAATGTTAATCTCAACTTAAAAAAAAAAAAAACAAATTCATAGTAACATCTAGTGTTTGACCAAATATCTGGGCTGTATGGCCTAGCCAAGTTGACATATAAAATTAGATATCATACCTTCCCCGTACCATAGGGTGGAACTTGGGCCCTAGTCTGAAAATCTCACACTTGGGGAGCCATGGGGGGATGCTTCCAACAGAAGCAAGCCCAGGTGCCCAACCCCTGCAGGGGGGCTTAGCCATTTTACAGGTGAGAAAACCAAGTCCTAGAGAAAGGATCATTGAGTTGGTCCCAGGGTCCAAGAGGAAGGGGTGGAGTGAGAGTGGAAATCCAGCCTCACTGAATAGAAGTTCCAAGCTCTTTCCTCCACAACTCCTGGCTCTCCAGAGCCCTCAACTGGCAGCTCCTAAGACAACCTTCTCATTTTACTTCCTATTTGGGACGTAACAGCCAGGCCCAAACATGTTCAAACCATAAACTTGGGGAAGAAAATTAACTTATCTGGTGGGTGCTCCTTCCTGTTCCTGTCACCCACCTTACAACCACCCTCTCACAACACAGAGCTCCCGCAGCCAGCAGTCACACACAGACCCATCCACGGGGCACATCTCTTTGAAAAGTGCTTTATTTCAGTAAGATCTAAGTCAGATGCATTAAAACATATCAAAATGTTACAAAAATGTATGGCTCCCTTGCTGAGGCCCTGTCAGATTATGTTAGATGAGTAAACGCATCAGTGTGTAAGTTCAGAACCAAACGTTGAATCAAGTCATGTACCATCGCTGAAAGGCAAGTTATAATTAAGAATACTTCACAAGGCTAAAACAATTGGGAAAACCCTTCAGAAACGCTAGCAATTACACACCAGAAACATCAGCCTGGAAACAGGTCTGCGATCTGCAGGGAAGACTCCAAAGGTAAACTGAGGGTTTCCCACCACAGCTTGTGCATCTTGTGCTCAGTTAAATACAGTTAAAACACAAGGGGCGCTTCAACACCCCCCTTGTGATAGGGCAGAGCTTTCTATTACATCTGGAAGAAGGGGGCGCCACATTCATTCTTATTTTTACATCTCTAGGAAATCATATCTCATCTCATCTGAGCGAAGCAAGACTTTGTGCAAAACGATTTAAGTGGAAACGTGAAAATGTGTGCTGCTATATCAGGGACGCTTATGGTGATCTCCTGTCTCCTATCTCATTCTTCACGTCATGGTTTGGCCGCTGTAAGACACTGAAATTGCCTTGTTCATGTAGAAATTTCTCTTTTGGCTGGGCACAGTGGCTCACGCCTGTAATCCCAACACTTTGGGAGGCCTAGGCGGGTGGATCACGAGGTCAGGAGTTCAAGACCAGCCTGGCCAAGATGGTGAAACCCCACCTCTACTAAAACCACACAAAAAAATTAGCCGGGCGTGGTGGCGGGTCCCTGTAATTCCAGCTACTTGGGAGGCTGAGACAGGAGAATCACTTGAACCCCAGAGGCGGATGTTGCAGTGAGCTGAGATCCCACCACTGCACTCCAGCCTGGGAAACAGAACCAGACTCTGTCTCAAAAAAAAAAAAAAGAAAGAAAGAAACCTCTCTCGGCGATGTATCTGTGACACCACATTCTCTGTGCTACAGAGCTTTGACATAAAACATGGTTTTTGGTTGTTTTGTTGTTGGTGGTGGTTTCTTTAAAGAGAATTCCCTTTTCTTAAGAGAGCTTCTTGCTCTTCTGTGGCCAATTTCTTCACTCTCCTGACACTTTGAAGTAACCACTCAACTCCACAGACTTCTTGTTGAGACTTTTTTGCATGGAAAACAGATATTTTGGGGGGGGCATTATATGCTACCGATATTAGGATAAAATGTGTTTACCTAGAGGTTTCTAGGAGAGAGTACTGTTCTCTTCTGGTGAGGGAAGAGAGGATTGTGAAAATATTTCTCCTTGAAGCATCAGCATGTCTCAGATCAAAATCTTGACCCGAGGCCTCAGCATTTTTCTTGCAGATGGGTGACTAATATCCAGAAATCCTCTTGCCTCAACTCAACTCCAAGTTGAAGTCCATCCAGCCTTGTGCACGTTCTTCACCAATACGTACAGGGAAGACTATCTTTTGTGCTTTTCAGCCTCTCCCCAAGATAATCCCCACCCCCTGCCATTTAAGTCATCACCTTCCCTCTCATGTGATCACAGAGAATGTGACCTTGTGCTTAATTCCACCATCCCAGCCAGATAGGCTCAGGTTTTTCCTTCACTTGATCACCTTGTAACATAAGCCCCTCCCGGGGTGGGGGTGGTGGGGAGACAGATGCAGCTAAACTGCTTTTCACAAGTTGGAAAAAAAACCCAACCCTATAAACTGGTCTTTTGTCCTTTACACAATTTCAGGTTCATTGCACGCAATTACATAAACTCCCACAAATCGGTCGAAGAGTTCAAAACTGCAAGACCATGTGATACCAGTGAGAAAATCTGCTCCACACTGTGGCAAAGTGTCTCTGTTTCAACTGCTGCTATTTCAAAGAACCCTTCCAAAATTTCTGATCAGGTTCTTAGGACGTGAGAAATGACCTCTCAAGAGGGCAGGACAAAATGGAAAAGTGTGGTCTGCATTACGTGGAAGTGTGTTGTGTGAGATGGGATCTCCTCTCACTTCCACCTCCTGACCTCCCATCTTTAAAAAGCTGAGTCTGCCTTAGTATCGCTCCCTTGGAAAGTGATCTGGCCAACTGGACATGTTGCAGTATTTCCCCATCTAACACTATCGTAGTGCTAGTGCAAATCAAAGAGAACTCTTATAAGCCAGAAATCGCTGTCCAGTAAGAGCTAGTGGTTAGTAGTTTGCTTTGTGGAAATTCTTCTCCCAAGTCCTCCAAGGAGAATTACTGGGGCCAACTAAGGCCCTGAACATTCAAAATAAAAATTACCAGAAGAGAAGTTCTCCAAATCATTTTCTCAATTGCAAAACTCAGGAGGTGTTTGCATTCACAGAACTGTTCTTTCCCAGCTGTAACAAAGGAAGCCTCTCCCGGTGGCTACTCTTTGTCTTCTTACCCCAGTTCTGTGCAGCTTGCAGAAGCCCTTCTGGGCTTCCACTCCATGCCCCACAGGGCTGGTGCTGCTGTCCCTATGGAGGAAGGAGACTTGCTATAAAACCCTTGGCGAAATGCCAGGGGCCGCATGCCATCTTTCTGCAGTCTACGTTAAGACCACAGCTGTGAGCCTTCTCAAGAAGCCATAGGTATGAATCGGGGGCAGGAGGGTGCCCAGGGCAGAAACGTCTCCACCAAAAAAGTCCACCTTCCTTTGGAGGCACCAACCAGGGGCTGTCCTTTCCTCAACTGCCCAGCTCTGCAAACATTCTGTGGAGAGAAGGTGGAGAAGAGATGGGCAGTGCCTCTACCCCAGCTAGGCTCAAAGACGCCTGCTATCAGGAGCTCCTGATCTTGCTTGGTCAATCTCCATAGCCAGGCACCCAGGTCCAAGCATCTGTCTCCCTCCTCAAACGATATCAGCTGCACTGATGCCCAGCTGCCTGTCAAGCTTCCTGATAGGAGTCCCAGGGCACAGACTGTTCTTGCCCTTTTCTCCCATTGGGGTTGGATTTAAAGATCACATAGGTGGCTGCTCAGAGGAGCTGAGGAGAAGCTCCATCCTCCCCATGCACCTTCACCAGGTGGCCTAAAGAGCTTCCCTGAACCCCACACTCAGTAGCAAGATGAGGCTTCATTCTTGGAATGCATCTCCACACACAAGGTGAGGGCAACTTGCAAGAACCCAGAGGTTGGAAAGAATGGTCTTGACTGCAAACATCGCCCCAGCTTCAAGTGCAGGAAGACCTTTGATGACATGAAGATGGGCTGCGTTCAAGGCACCTGTCATATCTGCAGGTAGCCTCGACATTTCCCTTCAACCTGAAACTTCCTGGCCACCAGGCCACCAGGCCCTGGCCACACTAGCTGGTCAGCACTGTGTACGCACCAGCGAGATCTTTGTTTCTTGAGACATTTCCTTCCACTCAAGGAAGCGCCATAGAGACAGGCTGTCAGCTGGGTACAGAGAAACACACAGGATCTTCTCTGTCTCCTAAAGGTAGCCATGGAGGCAGAGATGGAGGCAGAATCCACTCTTCACAGGTTTCCACATAGAACATCACATATGTCTTTGTCATTTAAAACAATCAACGTTTCCAGTGTAAAAATACGTGGGCTTATTGCATCTACCCCACGGATGGTTTATCTTTTTCTTTCCATCAGACTTGCCGCAAGGTTATGTGGCTGTTATTTTGTTAATTTCCAAGGCTCTTACATTCACTGATCCTTCTAGGCATACAGGGAGAATTTCTACCAACATATAAACAACCCAAATGGTGAACCTGGAGAACCCTCTTCCCTCTCTAAACACAGACAGACGTGTGGCTGCTCCCTGGCACTTGAGAGGAGAAATCTTTCCTTCAACCTAAATACCACTCAGATCAGTGGCTCCTCTGATTTTCCTGCTCACGAGCAGCACATGTGCCAAGCTCACGGCTCTTGTGCTGGTTGCCTGGAATTTAATTACATGTGAAAGTATCAGGTAGGCACATGGACACGTACCATGTGTGCACACACATGTACACACACACATTTTGGGTCCTCCTTATAACTAAAATCAAAAGTCCTTGTGAGCAGAAAAAAGGAGGGCAGGGGTCCAGGGATAGGGAGCTGTCTGCTGACTTCTACATCCAGCTCCAGGTAGCAAATGATGGCTTGGCCGGAGCTGGGGAGGTTTGTGTCTAAATGTTTCCATGGAAAGAAAGTGCCTAGCTTCCTGGGGGTCTTATGGGCAATGGCGGTTCCTGGGGTGCCCAGATCCCCTCGTTCTCATGGCTCAGATTGTTGCTGGGGTCTCGGCTATCTCCTCCAGCCTCTGTCGAATCATTAGCCGGAGCACGGTGTACCTGGAGACAAGAAACAGGCTCAGATGGAGAGCAGCCAGCAACACACCCCTGCCCAGGACCTTCCCGGCCACCTGGGTAACACCAAGGTCACACCAGGTAACAGTGCAGTCAAGTGCCCTGCTCCTTTGCTTCCATTACTGACCCCTCTTTAGCTACTTTGTTGCTTATGTTCATTCCTACAACACGATGAGAGGAAATAAAGAGGCCAAATCCAAATTAGATTATTTTACTATGGGTAGAACATCTAGCCAAAAAAAAAAAAAAAAAAAAAAAGGTAAAAAAAAACAACAGCAATAATAAGCATTCTACGAATTCAGTGCGTTTGCTTACTATGTCCAAGACACTATGCATAGTACTTCATATGCACAGCAGCTCATGAACCCTCACCTAGGCTAGATGATATAAAATTGCTAACAGTTGACCCTCTTGGGGATCCTACAAAAATGGCAACTTCGTATGGTTCAACCTTATAACAGAACCTGCATTTTGCAGAAGAGGCCATAGCAGCTACTAGGCGTGGAGGTCCGTGGCTTGGGGGGAGTTCTGTTTTCCCACGACTTCCCTGAGCCGTGGCACTGCAGCTGCAGGAGTGGGCACTGTTGTGCAGGGATCAATGGACATATTCCTTATGTTCAGGGATTTGTGCTGCACAGAAAAAGCTATTTTTAAAGTTTAGGACATAGTTGGCTGGGCATGGTGGCTCACGCCTGCAATCCCAGCACTCTGAGAGGCCGAGGAGGGTGGATCACTTGAGGTCAGGAGTTCAAGACCAGCCTGGCCAACATGGCAAAACCCCGTCTCTACTAAAAATACAAAAAAAAAAAAAAAAAAAGAAAGAAAGAAAAAAATAGCTAGATATGGTGGCGCATGCCTGTAATCCCAGCTACTGGGGAGGCTGAGACGGGAGAATCACTTGAGTCTGGGAGGTAGAAGTTGCAGTGAGCCGAGATCGCATCTCTGCACTCCAGCCTGAGCAACAGAGCAAGACTCTGTGTCAAAACAAAACAAAACAACAACAACAACAACAAAAACTTTAGGACATAGTAAGTGTTCAGTGTGTTATCAGACTAGTTATGATCATCGATACAGCAAATCCAGCAGCGGCTTTATTCTCCAGTGGCAAAAATGAATCATTAATTCCACCATATCTATGAAAGGCAGTCTCTTCTATGACTAAACATAGCAAAGAAATCACAAAATCCTTCCCAGAAAGCCGCTTTATTTTTCAATCCAAATGCAATTTCCAGAAGATAAATGTTACAAAGGGAGGAAGGGGGAGAGGAGAGGATTTTGGAGGCCAGTAGCTCAGGCTACATCCACGGCTAAGACAGCCTTCCTGAAATCCCTGGAACCTCCGGGTCTTGGTTAGCACTCCTTGCCTTCACCCCTTCAGGCAAGGGGTGGTAACACTAGCCCCAGGGACTGCACTATCCCTTGAGGTTACCCCAGACTCTGCCCAAGTCTTCGCAAATAGTCCCTTCTTCAAACACCCGTCAAAGACCCTCATCGGAGTGAGCATCTGTCTCCTGCTGGGAGCCTGATCGTATACTTAAGAAACCAGCGTACAGTCACCTTCCCTATTTCTGCATCTAGACCCCAAAGAAATTTTAAACCAACACCTTCTTTTCAGAGTCTTTCCATAAGAGGGAGGACAAGAGACACTTTGATGTCCCACATCAAAACGAGAAGCTGACACAAGAAGTAGATGAACACACTTAACTGTCACGTCCTCACTTGAAATCCAGGTTTGTCAATGGGCAGCCCTCCAAAGAAAGCCGAGACTCAGGCCCATGCAGCAGCTCAGCACAGTCCCTGCGAGGACCCAGCAGAGGCCCCTCTGTTGAGGCCCCAGGAGAAGTGCACCCAGTGCCCCAGAAGCCACACTTACTTGCGCATCAGCTTCTTTACTTCCCGATCTTCTTCCTCCTGGAGCTTCTGAATGAAGCTTTTAAGTACCGGCATCTCGAACTTTATATACTGGGCCACCTAGAGAGAAAGAAGCAAGTCTGGGTGAATGCCCTTCCCAGCATTATTCCAATTCCTTTCAGGGTTGTCCTTATACAAGGCACAAAGCCTTGGGAAGTCTATTTTTTTCAGAAACCCAGGATTTCCTTAAAGGCAGCAGCCAAGCCTCATTCCTCACCAGGGTGGGAAGGAGTCTGCGATGATCGCTTCGCTTACGTGACACCATCTCATAACTTCTCATTTTTCATGTCATGCATTCAATTCATGATGAGGTGAAGCCAAACACAGAAAAGTACTTTCTTTTGACACAGTGATGCAGAGAAAGAACTGAACCCATTATGTTTAATAAACCCCTTTGTTCTCCCCTAAGAGAATGGAAGGAATCAGGGTTCCAGATGACGATTTGGGTCTCAAGGCTCAAACAAGCATCCAAATATGAACTCGCTTTGGAGAGGCTGTGGGTGGCTATGGGGTGAGTTAAAGTTTAAAAACGGTGCCAGGCATCGTGGTTCATGCCTGTAATCCCGGCACTTTGGGAGGCTGAGGCGGGCGGATCACTTGAGGTCAAGAGTTCAAGACCAGCTGGCCAACATGGTGAAACCCCGTCTCTACTAAAAATACAAAAATTAGCCAGGCATGGTGGTGCACACCTGTGGTCCCAGCTACGCAGGGGTCTGAGGCAGGAAAATAGCTTGAACCAGGGAGGTGCCACTGCACTCCAGCCTGGGCAACAGAGCGAGACTCCATCCCAAAAAAAAAAAAAAAGTTAAAAAATGGCTTCCCTTTCCCCACAAGAATCCCCACCCTGCTCTATCAACTCTTCTCCCTGGGATAAGTACATTTCTCTACCCTATTAATGCTGAGCTTGTCCATGTGACTGGCTTTGGCCAGTGGAATGTGTGTGGACATGACACACCAAATCTGAGTGGAGGCTTCAAATATGCTTACATGATTTGGCCTGGTTTCTCATGCTCCGCCATCTGCCATGAGGACCACACCCATGTGCAGTAACTACTGCCCCAAAAGCCTGGGCCTCTGGGTGAGTCACACAGTGCAGACTTGAACTCAACCCATACTTAGAGTAGAGCCATTGCTACTAGACCACAGAATCATGGGCAAAAAAGCAAATGTTTGCTGTTGTCAGCTACTATGATTTGGAGATGTTTGTTACTCTGCAAAAGCTGGCTTCGAGAGAACCTGGTGCTGAAGAAGTAAAAGGGGGCATGGTCGTTGGTCAAAAAAGTCATTCTATACCCCAGTTACAGGTGGTCCAACCAAATCCCCACCCTCCTGAGGACAGATCGCCTGACCCAAAGGGAACTCACGTCGTAGGTGACTTCCTCCACCTGGTCCTTCTCCATTAGGAACACTTTGGAGATCTGCTCACATGGGCCCTGGAGGATTCGGGCAATCAGCGGGTAATCGGTGGCCTTCAGCTTCTGTTTCTCTGCAACCACACACACCCAGGAGCAGCCCTGAGAGGCCTTTCTCACATTAAGTAGTGGTTAATGCAGGGGTCCAAAGGCACCTTAGGAGATGCCGCCATATACGTCAGGAGACTGATTTATAAGTGAACTATTCCATAGGTGTTGTGAAAAGCAACTTCCTCCCACTCCTCACCCCTCAACAATACCACCATGCCTCAAACTCCTTGGAGGAATTGGGTTTATCTGTCTCTTAAGAAAATCTAGTTCCTCTTTTAATAGGCAGTTAGGTTTAGAATTTGTTTACTGGCCATATAAGGCAATCCCTAGTAGACTCATACAGCAAGCCCATCAGCCTTGAAGGCAAACAACATTTGGAAGTTTCCAAAACTCAAACAACAAGCAAAGGAGGCAGAGGTATTTTTTTAACTTGCTATTTTGAGTTAATTAGAAGTTTTAAAGTACACTGTGGTCTTCAGACTTACCACCACTCGTATGGACCACGTACAAGGCAAACTCCTCTGCTGAATTCTCAATCTGAAGCAGGAGCAAAAGATTCTTGTTGAAAGTTTCTATTTAAACATCCCAACTTCGAGGCTTTTCCTCTTCTTTAGCAATGCAAAGCTAAGTCAATTTTAGGCTGTTTTGAGGGGAGAGCTATTTATCTACAACTCTCAGAAGTGATGAGAAGATCGAGAAGGCAGATGACTTTATCAATAATACAGTCATGCACTTAACCACGAGGATGCATTCTGAGAAATGTGTCACTAGGCAATTTCATTGTTGTGCAAACATCATAGAGTGTGCTTACAGAAACCTGGATGGCATAGCCTACTTCACACCTAGGCCATATGGTATATAGCCTATTGCTCCTAGTGTACAAACCTATACAGCATGTTACTGTACTCAATGCCGTAAGCACTTGTAACACAATGGTAAGCATTTGTGTATCTAAACATATCTAAACACAGAAAAGGTACCATAAAAAATGGATTATAATCTTACGGGACCACTGTCGTATATGTGGTGCATCATTGACCAAATTGGTCATTCTGTAGCACACGACTAGGATAGATAACAGCTATCGTCTATTGCAATGTGCCAGGCATAGTTCTACAAATGTTAAAGGCTTCAACCCATCTAATGCTCACGACGATACCATAGTGAAGTCCCATTATCCTCATTTTATGATGACGAAGCAGAGGCAGGGGCAGGTTAAGTAACCTGCCCAATTCATCCAACTAGCAGGTGCTCAGTGGAGATTTGAACCCAGAGCCTGTGTTCTTAGGTTGTTAGGCTACACTGGCTTCCATTAAAAATAAGAACACCTGGTCTCCAAAAGATCTCTGGTCTCCAAGAGATTGTGGAAAACACAGAGCAACAGAACTTTAAAAGCACTCCTGCACTATAATTTGCACGTCTATTTAAGTATCATATTTCAAAGTAGGTTTCCCAACTGTGTCCCAGAAGTCAATCTTCGCACTGAGCCCAAAACCAGTCAGCAGGCCCCAGGGTCCTTCTAAAGTAGCCCATAAAGGATTTGAGGGCTGATGTTTCTCAAACTTCGGTAGGCATCCAAATCCCCTGCAGGCTTGTTAGACGGCGTCCCTGGCCTACCCCTCACAATTTCTGATTTAGTGGGTCTGGGGTGGGGCCTGAGAATCTGAATTTCTAACAAGCACCCAGGTGATGCTGATGCTGATTCTGTGGACTTTGTCCTGGATCGTGAGGATCTAAAGAACCGAAGCCCTCTGCTCAGCATCCCACAAAACACACAATTTCCATAGCTCCTCGCACAACCACTCTAGGAGTCCCAAGGCACAGCTGTGACCCCATCTGTGGCCACTCAGCAAAGGGAACTTGCCTTAAATTTGTTGAGCAGCAGCTTCAGGACCTGTGGGGTGGTCATGGTGCTGTTGATGCGGACGTTGGTGACAGAGCCATAGGCTGGTGTGAACACGGATGTCTGTCAATAGAAGGGCCCAGCTCAGGGTGGGAGTGGGAACAAGGACCCAGTGCTAAAATCCAGGTGCGGTACAGGGCACAGTGACAACGATACTCAGAATGTACTCCCTGGGAGCCCCCGGCAGACTGGCAAGCAGCAGGCTTTGTAGACAAAGCAACCCTCGGGGTTTGCATAATTCAGTTCATGCTCCACGCTCAAAAAGACCCTTCCTCTGGGACTTCAGCACAAGGCTGTCTCTGACCACTCTCCCACCATGTATTGCCTCCGGGGGTAGGATTTGAACAAAGCAGGAGGAAAGGAGGGATCAGCAAGATGGGGTGGGGTGGGTGGTGCACTGACACCCCAGGTCTGAGACCTGCAGCTCTGCTTCAGCTCTGGGAAAAGCCAGACCATACACCAGCTGGGGGCACAGTGTGCAGGAAGAGGGTAACACGTGGATTTTCTTGGGAGAGACTGATGAGCTGCGTTTATGGGGTCTTCAAGGCTACAGCAGGGACTGCTTTGTACAGCCCCACTGAATTCACCCACCACCTTAAGGGGAACCCACAGGGGGACTTTGAGGCTTCTGACCTGGGGTCCCTCAGCCCTCAGGAAGCCAGCAGGGCTTGCAGCCCACCCACAACCCAAAGACTAAACAGCAGCAAACACTTGGCTTCCCAGGCATCCACACCACCCACCATATGGCTGTAGCCCTGAGGTGGCATCTACCCAGGAAGAGGTCTTCCACCCTCCCCGTCCCCCTGTCCACCTTACCTTATGGTTGTAGAAATGGCCGTTGATGGAGAAGCGGTGGCGTCTGATTCGCCGCTGGTCACTAGGCGTCCTCACATTGCCACGGCGACGCACCCCAACATCACTGCGTGTGCGCATCAGCTGTGGGGTGTCCTCCTGCAGGGGCTTCAGGCCCCTGGAGTCTGAGAGAGGAGAGGGAAATGAACTCTGTCTGTCTGGACCTGGGACATGGCACATGGTCCCCAATTTGTGGCCAGTGCGACAGCACCCACTGTCTCCACAAATATATATTTTATACAAATAATATTTTCTGCTGGGGGAAAAACATAATGCAGAATTTACAGAGAACCTATACAAGGAAAAGTTCAGAGAACAGACTTCAGAGCCGGACTCCCTGGGTTCAAATCCCTGCTCCATGATTGCCATATATCACTAACCTCTCTGTGCCTCGGTGCTTTTATATATAAAATAGGGATAATAATAACACCCACCTCAGAGGGTTGCTGAGGGTTTAAATGAGTTAGTATACATAAAGCACTTAGAATAGTGCCTGGCACAGGATAAGCATGATATAAGAGCTAACAAGATACTGCAAACAAACTCTGACACATGCTACCCACGGATGAACCTTGATGACATTATGCTAAGTGCAACAAGCCAATTACAAAACAGCAAATACTGAATGATTCCACTTATATGAGATACTTAGAGTGTACCTCATATAAGTGTACCACATATAATTGAGGTACACTGTAAGTACATTCTAGGTACATACAAAATTACAGAGACAGAGAGTAGAATGGTGGTTGCCAGGAGCTAAAGAGAGAAGGATGTGGGGAGCTATTGGGAGTTTAATGGGTACAGAGTTTCAGTTTCACAAGATGGAAAGAGTTCTGGAGATGGATGGTGGTGATGGTTGCGCAACATTATGAGTGCTTTTAATACCACTGAACTGTACCACTTAACATGGTTAAGATGGTAAACGTTATGTTATGTATATCTTACCACAATAAAAAATTAGAAAAAATAATGTTTAACAGAACATGTATCTAAAAATATGTGGGGTTCCCATGGCATATGTCTATCCTTGTATGTGTATAAATATACAATACTGACATTAATCACAAGTAGGTTAATCTGCTCTTATTAAAATATATTTAATCCACGTAATATAAAAAAGATTTTGCAAACTGACAATATCTATGAAAATTAAAAATGCATATGGCCTTAAACCCAGAAAGTCCACTTGAAAGAATCCTACACGCTGACAAATGTGTGACGTGACACATGTATAAGGCCGCCGACTGCAAACTCGTTTGTCATAGCAGAGGCTGAAAATGACTTAAATGTCTACCAGTAGGGAGTGATTACATAAATTATCCTTTTTCCATACAGTGAAAGAATGCAGAGCTGTAAAGAATAAGGAAGTTCTTTACAAATGTATATGGAAACATTCCCCCAGATAAACTGATAAATAAAAACTGGGATCTGCACAATGCTACCACTTGTATAACTAGGGGAAGAAAAGAAACTACATCCAACCAGGCGCGGTGGCTCATGCCTATAATCCCAGCATTTTGGGAGGCTGAGGCGGGCAGATCACTTGAAGCCAGGAGTTCAAGACCAGCCTGGCCAACATGGCAAAAACCCATCAGCACTAGAAATACAAAAATTAGCTGGGCATGGTGGCCCATGCCTTTAATCCCAGCTACTCAGGAGGCAGAGGTGGGAGGATCACTTGAACCCAGGAAGCAGAGCCAAGATTGCACTACTGCACTGCATCCTCCTGAGTGACAGAGGGAGATGGGAAGGGAAGGGAAGGGGAGAGGAGGGGAGGGGAGGGGAGGGGAGGGGAGGGGGAAAGAAACTACATCCACCCATAAAGACATGTCAGTGTGTTTTGCTTATATTTGCATGGACTATCCCACGAAGGATGTTCTCGGGATGCTTCTAGGTGGGTGGATGAGGTGGGTGACTTAATTCTCTCCCTTTGTATCTTGAACCATATACATTTTATATTCTCAAAAATAAATAACAGTTTACAACATCTATCACAGCGGTCTTCACACAGTTGGTCCCTAGCTGGAAGTACCTTCCACTCACATGTACCTGTGGAGCTTGGCATCTGGTCACCCTCCGGCGGGGCATCCACCTCTGAGATCTGAACTTTGGGCACAGTCAGGGGCTTCAGAGTGGTTCTGGGAGTGGAGAAGACAAAGGGGAGGGGGGAGACTAGTTTAAGCCCTGTGGAGAGACGCCCCCGCACCCGCTGGACCCCACTCCTGAAAGGGGAGCACTTTGCTAGTGCCAGGCTGGGTACTGGCACACATCAGGTGATGAAGGGTGCAGATGGGCTGCGCGGAGCATCCCGTGAAAGGCTGGCCCAGCTCCCAGGTCAAGCAGTGGGTGGGGCAGGGGGAGTTCCGGAGGGAGAAGATGTTCTTTTGCAGCAACTGCAGTAACACACCCAACCAATTCATCAAGCCCAGGATGGATAATACCAAGGAACAAAACCCACGTGTTGCCTGCACTGCTTCTAAGCATGTATGGATTCTATGGCTTACTTGGAAAACTCTAATAGTGGCCATTCGTTTTGCAGGGTAAGATTCCAGTTTAGACTCATTGCTGTTGAAGAAATAACTCATAATTGCTTCTGGCATTCAAAAGGAATGGAAAGTAATAAGTTGGCCACAACAAGGGCAGGGGCAGCTTTGGAAGGGACACTGACAGTGTTCTCAGCGTTGCAAGGATGGAGTCCTCATCCAAGCTGAAGAAAGGGTTACAAGCAGGCAGTCCAAGCTGAGACCCTGGTTTGCCATCATAACTGGCAAATAACTTCTCAAAGCCAAAAAGGACAAAGGGAGCAGCTCAGAAAAACATCCAAAATCAACAGAGGATTTGGCTAGAAAGGAGAATCATATTTGACCAATTAGGAACAACCCATGGTGAGAAGAGCATGGGCTCCCTGGGACCCAGTAGAGATAAACCTCATGTTCTGGGGAGGATCGTTTTAAGGAAGGACAATTAAAATGGAAAATCTGAAAGAACTTCCTATTGTAATTTAACTCATATACTTCTGAACCACAGAATGGACCTGGTCAGAGCTTCTGGGGAATGGTGAACACTTGGCACCCAGAGCAGCGACTCCCACTCCCTGATTTAAAGCCTTCATTCTTGCTGAAGCAGGAACCGGTCTCAGCATCCTTATTTTTTTTTTTTATTTTATTTTTTTGTAGAGACAGGGTTTCACCATGTTGCCCAGGCTGGTCTTGAATTCCTGAGCTCAAGTGATCACCCGCCTCAGCCTCCCGAAGTGCTGGGATTATAGGCACGATCCACCACGCACAGCCTCAGGATCCTTCTTAAGACAGCAGTCTAGGCATTCACTGTATTATAGCTGACATCTAAATGACACCATTTACCATTCCTGAAAATTCTACCAAAGTATTTTGCAGAGTCAGCCAGGACCAGCTTGATGCCGCAGAGAAGGGAGAAGAAGCAGGCGGACCGAAGGACCCTTTAGCAGCCCAAACCAAAGGCCACAGGCTCAAACGAAATCTTAAAAATCATCTCACTTAGGGAATAGAATAGTCTGGGGGTCAGGGTCAGGCTGTGAAATGGGCTTGGCCATTGGCAGTCAAATACAGCAATAATACAGTATAGTATAACAAATACAGTATAGTATAACAAATACAGTACAGTGTAACAAGTACAGCTGGGCATGGTGGCTCACACCTGTAATCCCAGCACGTTGGGAAGTCAAGGTGGGAGGATTGCCTGAGGCCAGGAGTTTGAGACCAACCTGTGCAACATAGTGAGACCCCATTTCTACAAAAAACATGAAAATTATCCAGGTAGGGCCAGTATGGTGGCTCACCCCTGTGGTCCCGGAACTTTGGGAGGTCAAGGAAGGTGGATATCTTGAGGTCATGAGTTCAAGACCAGCCTGGCCAACATGATGAAACCCCCTCTCTACCAAAAAATACAAAAATGGCTGGGTTTGGTGGTGGGCACCTGTAATCCCAGCTACTCAGGAGGCTGAGGCACGAATCGCTTGAACCCGAGAGGCAGAGGTTGCAGTGAGCCGAGATCGCATCACTGCACTCCAGCCTGGGCAACAGAAAAAAAAAAGGTCGGGGTGGGGCGGTGTGCACCTATAGTCCCAGCTGCTGGGGAGTCTGAGTTGGGAGGATCACTTGAGCCTAGGAGGTTGAGGCTGCAGTAAGCTGTGATTAAGCCACCGCACTCCAGCCTGGGAAACAGAGTGAGACCTTGTCTCAAACAAAACAAAACAAAAATATGGTGATAGTGCTGAAAAGCAGAGCATGAAACCTGCAAAGTTAGATGAAACCAAAGAACCTTAACCAGACATCCTAGCACCTATGGGGTGGGCAACAATTTTCCTCCTTAAATCCCCTTGGAAAGAAACCAGACCAGCCCCAGGGCTGGCCACATAGTAGGTTTCTCTCAATTGTAGAGAAACATAGATTTGGCTGTGGAGTTTAGCAAAATGTTCAATGTGGCCAACAGAGAGGGCTTGGTTTTCATTTAAACCAGAAAAAAAGGTCACTGTGGTTTTGGCTGAGAGGCGAGCACACTCCACCCAGGCTGGGGCCGAAGGCAGTCAGCATCAGCAGGTTTCAGGATGGAGACAGGCTAGTCACTTGATCCTAAAACTCAAGTCCCAGAAAGACAATAAAGAGGGCATGCCTTGCTAGAGGCATTTGGCGGCGCATTTGGCGGCTTATTCAGCCATGGAGGATAAGGAGGGATGGACTAGGTCTTCCCAGCCCTTCTGGTGGGAACTTAGACTACCACCATCTCACCAAACCCTGGCTCCCCGTATGGTCTGCAGGGAGCAGACCCCTGGCTGATCTCGCTTGGCTGACTCTGACAGAGCCTGACATTCCTTTTCCTCTTCTAGGTTCCCCCAAGATTCAGAGAGCTTTGGTCAGAAGGTTCAAGTCATAAATGCTTTGGAGTGGGGCTATTCTATGAGGAGTGGTCCCAGTGGGGAGGGTGCTGGGGCATGGGGCGCCCTGTTAGAAATATACAGGCTGGGCCTCACTAGCCACTAGCAGCTCCACTCAGAGACTCCTGAGTTCTCCCTAAGGGAGGACTCTGACTCAGCAGCTCCCCTCGTATGACTCAGCAGCTCCCCTCCTGTGACCTCATCAGTGATTGCAGTGACAGGAAGGGGGCTCAATCACAACCACATCTGCTGCTTGTTCCTCATTCCAAGGCTAAGGCAGGTGGGCAGTAGAGGTAGTAGGAGGAGGAGCCAGGGTCAGGGCTGGCTGGAAGAAGGCAGCATTTATCTGCTTGAGAACACATAGAACACCCAAGCATCCCAGTCATCTCCCTGCCCCGTCTCTCCTCACTCACCCCTGAGCCCCCAGGTTACAGCCAGAGTGCCAGGAGGAGGAGGATGGAGGGGGTCGAATGCGTTCGTTGTCATCCTGCATCTGCAGGCGAATGGGCCGGCGCAGGCCCCAGGAGATGTTCAGGAGCCCCTCCACAATGAACTCGTCTTCTTCCTGCCCACAAAGCAATCAGAGTAGTGAGCCTAGAAAAGCCCCCACAGAAGCCAAGACCATGCTGAGGGACAAATGACACATTCTTCACATGTCCTGGCTGGGGGCCCCCAGACTGTATTCACAGGATAGGGGCAGCTGCCCAGTTCACACCGCAGCTCTGAGATACTTTCTGACGTCAACTACTCCAGATCCTGAAGCTGACCTCACAGGTCAGCACAAAAGTTGCTGTGAAATTCAAATACATAGGTATAAATTATAAAAAGCATTGTTTTTCTTTTTATCCTAATGACTTTTAAAGAAAGCGGAATACATTTCTTAAAATAAGTGAGATTAGCCTTGTTAACAGAAGCAAGAACTGGAGTTAGCTACGTCCCATCCCCTACTACGGAAAATGATGTCTCTTTAGCTACAACATCTGTTTAGCAATCCAACCTGGTGGTTGAAGGAAATTTAAAGCAACATTTGCCGAAGTTTATTCTACAGAACACTAGCTCCTCTAGCAGATGAACTGCTGTCTTTAAAAGGGTGTCAAGTGATCATGAGCTGGGAGAGGCTGTGCTAATCAGATTTCCAAACAGCAGAATGTCCCAGGTTCTGTAATAAACTAACGGGCTAAATGACAACTCTCCAACAGGTGAATAAATCTTGCAGGAGTCCCCAATTTATACTCAAAGGTTGCTGACTAATTAGACATTAAATGTAAAACCATTCTAGAGGCATTTATATGTTCTATCCCGAAGAATTGGGACTCGCTTATGACTATGAAATCCTTTAATCATGAAGCACTTTTAATCATTTATTCTATAGGACATAACCCAGGAAAGCTATTTAAGAACTAAAATCTTGCATGGCCCAGCTGCTGATTAGTAAAAGCTTGAAGGGCAGTTCCTAAAAGAATCGGTTCTCCTCCCTCTAGTCTCAGAAAAACCTTTTTGGAGCCATGTTTTATGGGCTATTCAAGTGTTAGATCTGGGTCATGGAACACATCTTCAGGACAAGCCCCATAGGTGAAAATAACATCAGCCCATTGAGCAACTAACTAACTTGGGCCCCAAAATCATCCTCAAAGAGGGAGGAAGGAATAAAAGAGGGAAGGAGAGAAATGAAACAATTTTACGGTGCTTAGGCGTCTCAGGGAGGAAGGCTTTATGTAAACATAGGCAATTTACATGGCCTTCCCCTGGTCAAGGTGGGCATCATTCCTTTACACAATTGTAGGTCAAAATTTAACCCAAAACAGGATTTTGTCTAAGTGGAGTGGTTTGAGGGACACAGAATAGGCCACTACATCCCACATACTGTCCCCAAGCAACCTGCCCTAGCAGCTGAAATTCCACCATCTGTTATCTGTTTCTATGGTTAAATCGCCACAGCTTGATAACCTGAAAATGTGTTTCAAAGGGCATTACACATAGGGACCTTTTTATCAGTCACAGGCGCTTGAGTATAAAGTACCCTACCAGACTCCTTTATAACTCATCATCTATCTGATAACAGGCTTTAGAGAAATGGATACAGGATGAGTAAGCTCAGTTTCAGGATGGGAATCAGATGAGTAACAAAAGCAACCTAGGATGACCAAGTGTGGGGACGGGCCCACTATCAGTGGGGACTCTGCTAACATCCAGAGCTTATGTGCTTTGCCCAGGTCACTGCAGTGATAGGACTTGGGCCCAAATGTTTAAACACAGAGGACTGGGTGGGGTTCCCGAATTGCCCAACGAGAGAACGTCTGCTTGGGAGCCACCTGGAAAGGTCATTTCATGAAAGCTCCCTCTGGAGAATCTCCCCCATGAGACTGGGCTAGCCCTGCCACATTTCTACAGGAATGTCTCTGGAACACATCTCTGAAACATTCATCCTTTTTGGAACAAAACTGGGCCTGGAGTCTTCTTCCAAAGAACCCCAAGGACTCTCACTAGCAACCTAAATAAGAAGCAGGAGAGGCAGGGTTCTCTTGGGACCTCAGGGACCTTCAGACCCAGGACACATGGTGACAAGCCCTGGACTAGCCAATCAGGGCCGTCCCTGGGGACTCCTTACCTCCCGGTGCCGGAGCTGTAAATTCTGGCCTTCATAGTACAAGTTGTAGGTCTTCAGATGCAAGAGAAGTTCATTTCTTAGGGGGAAAAATAGAAGAGATATAACATTATCAGCTGAAGCCACTTATAATGCAGTTGTTCCCTCTTTCTCTCACCTCTCACCTGGCCTTCAGTCACCCCACTTTGGGTAACTGTCCACATGTACATACACACACATGCACATGCACACAGAGTTCTGCCACCACCACCCCATAACCATCTTCCCCCAGGATCAAAGTCAAGAGTGAGCACCACCCCAGAACAATGCTTAAAGTAAGGAGCAACTCCAGGACACCAAGGCAGGCCTCGTCTACCGACAATACTCCCAAACTCAAGCTGAATGAGCAGGTGTTAATAAGCCATGGATTCACTGAGGCGAGCACTTCAGAGCCCACACACAGCGATTCTCCTGCATGGCTGTGGCCTTTTCTCCCTCAAGCACGCTGTGAGTGAGGAAAGGACAATAATGATAGGCCTTCACAAGACTCAGAAGCTGGCTGCGCGCAGTGGCTCATGCCTGTAATCCCAGTACTTTGGGAGGCCAAGACCAGCGGATCACTTAAGGTCAGGAGTTTGAGACCAGCCTGGCCAACATGGTGAAACCCCATCTCTAACAAAAATACAAAAAATTAGCCAGGCGTGGTGGTGCACACCTGTATTCCCAGCTACTCAGGAGGCTGAGGCAGGAGAATCACCCAAACCTCAGAGGCAGAGGTTGCAGTGAGCTGAGATCGCGCCACTGCACTCCAGCCTGGGCAAAAGACTGAGACTCCATCTCAAAAAAACAAACAAACAAACAAAAAAAAAAAAACTTGCAAACTCCCATCAGCATCAGAATGGGTGCATAAAGGAAGCAATAGCCACACAACGGAAAATTATCAGCGAAGAGAATGTGAATGAACTACACAACTACACGCATGTGTGTGACTCATGGGAATTATAGGATATGTGCTTTTCTTGTGTCTAGCTTCTTTCACAAAAAAGCACAGATCATATTCCATTGACAGAAAGTTCAAAATGGAGTGTTAGAATTCAGGATAGTGGTTCACCTTGGGGAGTAGTGACAAGAAGTGGGCATGAGGTGGCTTCTGGGCCCTGGCAATACTTTTTCAGTTCTAAAAATTAAAAAATAAAAACCCTTAGAAACTCCCCCTCTGAAGCCCAGCACTGGACCTCCTTAGCCACCAAGTTTTCCAAGTGGCTGCACTGGGAGTACAGCTCTACTGCACGTGGCCAGAGAGGAGATTTCACCCCCTTTGTGATCAGGGAAATCCCTCATCAACCCTGAGAATGCACAAGTCAAGTTTCATCTGAAAGTGCATGTTTTGCACTCCAGGTGGGATGAGAGGGGCGAGAGGTGGAGGGGGCCACTGTGCGCTTTTGTCTAGTCTCAAGTAAGAGGTGGCAGAGTTCAGCCTCTCTGAACCCAGCCATTCAGTGGAGAGATTTTGGACCACGCCAGGAGTCAAGACCCACTGGAAATGCCAAGAAAATCCTGACAAGTTAAACCTAGATAAAGCAGCATGATTCTATGCAAGCTGAAATAAATTTGTGGAAAATGTGATTCGAAATCACCTAAGACAAAAGGCCGTTTGGTACTTTTGAACACACAGATCTGAAACCGGGAGAGAAAATCATTGGTTGGTAGAAGTCCCTGGGGAAATCTGTCCACAAAGAGATAAGAATGGTCAGATGTCACAAAACATGTGTCAAGTGTGCCTAAGGACTTCCAACAATTTAGTCCCAGATAAATTAAATATTTCGTTAAGATAGAGAAATCCCAGCTGGGTGTGGTGGCTCACGCCTGTAATCCCAGCACTTTGGGAGGCCAAGGCGGGTGGATCACCTGAGGTCAGGTGTTCAAGACCAGCCCGACCAACATGGTGAAAGCCCACCTCTACTAAAAATTAAAAAATTAGCTGGGTGTGGTGGCGCATGCCTGTAATCCCAGCTACCTGGGAGGTTGAGGCAGGAGAATCACTTGAACCCAGGAGGCAGAGGTTGCCATGAACTGAGATCACGCCACTGCACTCCAGCCTAGGTGACAGAGGGAGAGTCCTTCTAAAAAAAAAAAAAAGAGATAGAGAAATCTTATGCTGGAACTTCCAATTCAAGGGTCTATTTTGGCTCAAGCCCAGTCACATTAGCAAAAAGCCTGAGCTCAAGAGACTTTAGTGCACAGAAAGCAATTAAATTGTCCCCTTCTATTCAGAGGGCATTAGCCAGACCCAGAGCAGCCGAGGGACACACTACTCCAGCCAGGACTCCCTGGGAACACAACGGACAGGACGGGGAGCAGTGTCTGAGTCCATTCTGGCTGCCGGACCATAGACTGGGTGGCTTCTAAAGAACAGAAATTCATTTCTCACAGCTCTGGTGGCCAGGAAGTCCAACGTCAGGGTAGAGTCAGTGTCTGGTGACAGCCCTATCCTCACAGACAGTGCCTTCTCACTGCGTCCTCACACCGCGGAGGAAAAACAATCTCCCTTGGCCTTTTATAAGGGTACTTAGATCTAATCACATCCCAGAGGCCCCACCTCTTATACCAGCACCTTGGGGTGAAGTTTCCACATAGGAATTTGGGGGAGACACAAACATTCAGAAGATAGCGAACAGCCACCAGCCAACTCCTCCTCCTGGAAGTCTTCCAGGATACCACATCTTTTGAGCCCCCAAAGTTTCTGCGTCTTGACTTCCCCTTTACTTCACCTCCAGGCCAGGCTCTCGGGACATGTTTTTATCTATAGCAGCAGCCCTGACGCTCTTACAAGTCCAAGTTCAGCTGCTTGGCTCCTTCCCCCATGCAGGAGCCCCACCAGTCTGATATACAGTGGGGGGCCCTCTGCCAGCGGCTGCCGTCCACCCACAACATCCCAGCACGGGACTGGTCACTGAGGACAAAACACTCCAGCAAAACGTCTTACTTGGAAATGTATTTATCTTGTCCACATGGGACTAGGGACGTTTGGTGGCTGTAGTCCATTCTTCCTTTCTCTTTTCATCGGAAGGAGAGGCCTACATTTGGAAGGAGAAGACAGAGGTTAAAGTCAAGTTGTGTGCTTGGGAACTCAGCAGAACTTGGGGTGGGGAGGGGGCACAAAATTGGACGCCATGGCTCTCCGTTCCTCCCCACCCAGATCCACAGCTAACACTGACCCAAGGCTGTGAGGGGCAACACTGCTGGCTGCTGCCTCGGCTTGCCACAGCCTCTGAGAACAAACATCCAAAGGAAAGACGACAACCCTTGGACAATCCAAGCACAAATGCCCCAGCCACAGAGCACACTGACAGCCACATTGGTTCCAAGGATGACTGATGAGTCCTCCTCTCTGAAGAGACCGTCACAACACAGAATAGAGAGTTATCTCAGGGACAGCCCGATTCTACTGAGGTCTACTGAGGATGGGTAAACCACCTGAAAATGCCCAAATACAGCCGAGTGCGAGAAATCACAGTATGTGTCTACAGACACCACTAAAATATTACAATGTGAAAGACAATTTAATTATAACAATACATTACAAAAACACAGGTAACAAAACTATGGGTCTAATTTTGTTTAAAATCTATGTAAGTATAAAATATGCATATACATACACACATTTACATGTATAAATATTTATTCAGATAGGTATATATATACATATATATATCAGGATTTCTCAACCTTGGCACTATTACCATTTGTTTTGTTTTGTTTTGTTTTTTGAGAAAGAGTCTCACTCTCTTCGCCCAGGCTGGAGTGCAGTGGTATGACCTCAGCTCACTGCAACCTCCCTCTCCCAGGTTCAGGTGATTCTCTTGCCTCAGCTTCCCAAGTAGCTGGAACTACAGGTGCCCGCCATCACGCCAGGCTAATTTTTTGTATTTTTAGTAGAGGAAGGGTTTCACCATGTTGGCCAGGCTGGTCTCAAACTCCTGACCTCAGGTGATCCGCCCGCCTCAGCCTCCCAAAGTGCTGGGATTACAGGCGTGAGCCACCGCGCCCAGCAGCACTATTACCATTGGAGCTGGCCCATTCTTTTTTAATTTCTATTTGGAGAGAAGCGATGTCACTTTGTCACCTGGGCTGGGAGTGCAGTGGCATGACCATAGCTCACTGCAGCCTCAAATCCCTGGGCTCCCTCGATCCCCCCGCCTCAGCCTCCCGAGTAGCTGGAACTACAGGTGTGCCCCACCGCCCCTGGCCTTGGACTGTTCTTTGTCGTGGGACTGTCTTGTGCATTGCAGGTGTTTAGCAGCATCTCTGGATTCTGCTCACTAGATGCCAGCAGCACTACCCCAGTGATGATGACCAAAACTGTCGACAGACACTACTAAGTGTCCCCAGGGGCAAAATCACATTACTCACAACAGCCCAAAGGTGGAAGCAGCCCAAGTGTCCACTGAAGGATGAGCAGATAAACAAAATGGAATATACGCATCCAGTGGAATATTATTCAGCCTTAAAAAGGAAGGAAAGGCTGGCACATGCTAGAACATGGGTGAACCTTGAAGACATTATAACAGGCCACACCCAAAAAGAAAAATACCATATGATTCCACTTTTATGAGGTACCTAGAGTAGTCAAAATCAGAGACTGATTTTATAGAATGGTGATTCTTCAAAAAGTAGAACGGTGGTTGCCAGAGGCTGGGAAGAAGGGGAAATGGAGAGTTTCTTAATGGGTACAGAGTGTGCAAAAGGAAGAGAGTTCTGGAGATAGACGGCAGTGATGGTTACACAACATGTGAAGTTACTTAATGCCACTGAACTAGACACTTTAAAATGGTTAAGATGGTAAATTTTATGTGTATTTTACCACTATATACATATACACGTGTATGTGTGTGTGTATATATATATATACATATATATATATATATATTTTTTTTTTTTGAGACAGAGACTCACTCTGTTACCCAGGCTGGAGTGCAGTGGCATAATCTCAGCTCACTGCAGCCTCGACTTTCCCAGGCTGAAGTGATCCTCCCACCTCAGCCTCCCAAGTAGCTGCGACTAAAGGCATATGCCATGATGCCCAGCTAGTTTTTTGCATTTTTAGTAGAGATGGGGTTTTGCCATGTTGCCCAGGCCGGTCTTGAACTCCTGGACTCAAGCAACCTGCTTGCCTCGGCCTCCCAAAGTGCTGGGATTACAGGCATGAGCCACCGCACCCAGCCCACAATATATTTTTTAAGTGGAAGAGGGAGGCATAGGAACCAGTATTACAGTGAGACAATGTGAGAAGGATTCGACCTCCTGGAAGAAGGATCCACGACCCGAGGGACACAGACAGCCTCTAGAAGCTGGAAAAGCAAGAAAATGGACTTGTCTTAGAGTCTCCAGAAAAGAACACATCCCTGTTGATACCTTGATGTTAGCTCAGTGAGATTCGTGTCAGACCTTTGAACTACAGAACTGTGAGATAATCAATTAGCGTTGGCCAGGCATGGTGGTTCATGCCCGTGACTGCAATACTTCATGAAGCCGAGGCAGGAGGATCATTCGAGGCCAGGAGTTCGAGACCAGCCTGGGCAACAGCAGGAGACCCCATCTCTACAAAAAAAAATTTAAAAATTAGCTGGATGTGGTGGCACGCACAGGTAGTCCTAGCTACTTGGGAGTCTAAGGTAGGAGGATTGCTTGAGCCCAGGAGCTCAGGGCTGCAGTGAGCTATGATCATACCACTGCACTCTAGCCTGGGCAACAGAGTAAGACGTTGTCTCTTAAAAAAATAATAAAATAAGGCCAGGCGCAGTGGCTCACACCTGTAATCTCAGCACTTCAGGAAGCCGAGGAGGGAGGATCGCTTGAGCCCAGGAGTTCAAGACCAGCCTGGGCAACATGGGGAGATCCCATCTCTACAAAAAATAAAAAATTAGCCAGATGTGCTAGCATGCACCTCTGGTCCCAGCTACTAGGCAGGCTGAGGCAGGAGGATAAATTGGGCCCGGGAGGCCAAGGCTGCAGTGAGCCACAATCACGCCACTGCACTCTAGCCTGGTCGACAGAGTAAGCCCATCTCAAAATAAATTCATTAAATTAAATAATAAAATAAAATAAAAATAAATGTACTTTAAGCCACTAAGTTTTGGTAACTTGTTACTGCCGGTTACCATGGGTGATTCCATTCAGAAAACTCAGACCCTACCAGTGTCCCCAAAAGTGGGACCCTGAGAACACAATTGGTCTCTCTAAATTTTAAATTTTATTATTTTTTTTACTTTTCCAAAAAAGGAAGAATAATCTGATCATGAAAACCGGAGTACACATGTAACGCGCAAAAAGAAAAAAAGGAAAGTCGAGCTAGTGAGAAAGCTTTCTTTTTTTTTTTTTTTTTTTTGTCACCCAGGCTGGAATGCAGTGGTGCGATCTCAGCTCACTGCAACCTCTGCCTCCCAGGTTCAAGCAATTCTCCTGCCTCAGCCTCCTGAGTAGCTGGGATTACAGGTATGTGCCACCACGCTCAGCTAATTTTTTGTATTTTTAGTGGAGACGGGGTTTCACCATGTTGGCCAGGCTGGTCTTGAACTCCTGACCTCAGGTGATCTGCCCGCCTCGGCCTCCCAGAGTGCTGCGTTTATGGCCTGAGCCACCATGCCTGGCCAAAACTTTTCTTTCTTAAGTGACAATTACCCGTAACTAGTCAGTGTCCCTTTTTCTAAAAAGTTGCCCCTTCTACACATGTATAAATTTACACATTCAACAAGCATTTATTGTGTCTACAACGTGCCAAGCATCGTGCTTCACGATGGTGGCTCAGCAGTCAAGGAAACAAGGCACATGGTGCAGGAGGAGGGGGATGTGTGGGGGCAGAGGGCTCTGTCAAGGGAGGGTGAGTGCTATGGTAGCAAACAGGAAGGACACCTACGGATGAGGGTGGGGTCCTGGGGGGCTTTCTGGAGGAAGAGACCTCTAAACTGAGACCTCAGTGTTGGCAAAGATGAGGGGCGAGTAGGTCCAGGCAGAAAGAGCAGGCAACTCGGAGCTGTGCGAGATGGGGTGGCACGAGCAGAACCCCGACCTGGTGAGGAGTCTGGACTTCATCTGGTGGGCAATGCTGGGCCATGTGAGTGTGGAGGATGAAGAATGGCCCCAGAGACACCTGGGCCCCGACCTGGAGCCTGTGAAAATTACCTTATATGGTAACAGGGACTCTGCAGATGTGATTAAATGAAGGATCTTGAAACGAAGAGACTATCCTGGATTATCTGGGGGGCCCTAAATGTAACCACCAGTGTCCTTATAAGAGGGAGGCTCTGCCACAGCAGAGAGAAGGCGACGTGACAACTGCAGCAGAGGGAGAAATCTGAAAACGCTGCACTGTGGACGAAGATGGAGGAAGGGGCCATGAACCTTGAAGGCAGCTCACAAGCTGGGAAAGGCAAGGACACAGATTTGCCTCAGAGCCCCTGGTGCGAGCAGAGCCCTACCACCACCTTAGTTTTGGCCCAGAGAAACTGACTTCAAGACTTCTGGACTCCAGAATATAAGTATTAAATTTCTGTTGTTTTAAACCACCAAGACTATAGTCATTTTTCTCGGCAGCAAGAGGAAAACAAGGGGAATTCCGAGGGCAGGGATGTGATCTGATGTACATTTTGGAAAGGTCACCCACCCAATGCCTTGCTTTGTGGAGAAATAATCCGGGAGAAGAGCATCCCGGGGACCAGTTGAGAGGCCGGAGCCCGAGTTGGAGAGACAGACTCTAGAGAGTTCGAAGAAGAAGAGGAAAGTCGTGATGTGGAAAGCACACCCTTTGGGGAAAGGGTGTGCTGCCGGATGAAACGTGGGGTGACAGGCAGAGTCCTGGTGACGCACAGGCTGCTGGCGAGGACCGCAACGTAGGCAGAGGTGCCACCTTCACAGTTGCTGAAGTGAGGACCAGGACTGAGTTTCAGGCAGACCCATGGAAACTTCCAGTGCAGATAACCAGAAGTACAGCAGGCCTGGGGCCCAGGAGAGCAATTCCTGGCACGTGAAGTGAGGGGAGAGGATGAGGTCATCGGGAAAGAACAGAAGGGGTGAAGGGGACAGGGCCTAGAGCAGGGTTCCCATTAACCCAGTTGGTCAGCATGGGCAGAGGAAGGAGTCCCTGGAGAAAGAGGAAAAACAGGAGACATGGTACCAAGGAAGCCCAGGAAACAAGGGGCCTTGAGAAGGAGGCCAAGGCCAGCAGAGCCAGGAGCTGGTGGTCAGAGCCCAAGGAAGGGGAACCCAGAGCAGCCTCTGTTAAACCACACAAAGGTCATGGGGGAACTCAGCCAGAGCTGATCGCGCAGCCTGGTTGGAGTGGAAATCAGGTGAACGGTGCCTGCTGTCGGCAGCCCTTCTCACTCTCCAACACTGGAGTCTTTCCTCAGCCAGGGAAATGTTATTCTATCTTTCTTTGATTATTTCCCCTCTTCCTCCCATTCTTGGTTCTTTTTTTTGAGACGGTGTCTGGTTCTGTCACCCAGGCTGGGGTACAGTGGAGCCATCATAGCTCACTGCAGCCTCAAACTCCTGGCCTCAAGCGATCCTCCCGCCTCAGCCTCCCGAAGGGATTAAAGGCATGGGCTGCCACACCTAGCTAATTTTTTTCTTAATTTTTCTTTTATAGAGACAGGGTCTTGTTATGTTAACCAAGCTGGTCTTTTACTCCTGGCCTCAAGTGATTCTCTCACCTCAGCCTCCCAAAGTGCTGGGATTACAGTGAGCCACTGCAGCCGGTCCATTCTTGGTTCTTCTGCAATCTCTTCTCTCTCTAGCACTATGCATCCATCCACCCCGGCAGCTACCCTCCATTTCCTTATTTTTCTCAGAATTCTCCAGCTAATCTTCTAACTCACCAATTGAATTTTCTCCAGGACTCTCTCTTTCGTTCTTTGCCTCCAACATAACCTATCATTTGGTAATTTAGTTCTGCATCTGTCCTGCTCTTAAGACAATTCTTTTTAATACCATGTCTTCTTAAATCTACTGAGAATACCAGTTAGAGAATTTGATTCTTAAAACTATCTGGTTCTACAGAAAAAAATAGCCAGAGCAATGAAACAATAAACATACAGAAATAGACCCAAATATATCTGGGAACATGGAATGTAAGCAGCAGTTCTAAATAGCAGGGGAAAGGTAGCTTAATTTTTTAAAATATCACTAGAGAATTCGCTGGCGTTTGGAAGGGGGAAGACAGGGAAGTGAAATCGCTAGCTTACTCCTTCCACCAAAAGAAATAACTGAACCAAAAATTTAAACATTGAAAAATAAAATGCTGAAGAAATTGATACCAACCTGTGAAAATTTTAAACTTCTGTTCAGAAAAAAAAAAAAAAGGAAACTATACAAAGTCAAAAAGGCAAATTGAAAACTGGGGAAAAATATTTACAAAACATATGGTAAAGGGCTAATGTCCTTAATACATAAAGAGCTTTAATAAATCAGTAAGAAAAAGGTTCTATGCTCATTCATAAAATGGGCAAAGGACACGCACAGTAGTTCATGGAAAACTCAATACAAGTAATTAATAAATCCATGAAAAGGTGTTCAACTTCCCTCATGACCCTACTTTTTACTTACCAGATTGATACACATCAGATAGTCTGATGGCCCCGACTGTGGGAATTTTCTAGGGCTCAGCCACTCTCTACCTGTTGGGTGATCTCACCAAGGCCATAGCTATAACTCCGACCTATGGGGTCATGTTGCCCCATCTTTGTCTATGGCCTGACTTCTCCCCACCTTTTTTCTTACTTTGACATTTCTTGGGAAAAAAGTGTTAAGAAAATATTTGCATAGCCTAACCCAAAGTTGAACTGAAATTACAGGTAGGTGATTCTAGGACCCAATCCCTCTTTTGCCCCACTCTGGGCATCTGCACCTTTCTTCACAAACTTTCCAACCACCTTCACAAAGCACTGTCTCCCTGCAGCCAGCTAAAGATACTAAGCTACATTCACATCCACCTTAAGGCAAACAGCAGCAGCACTAACAGAGGGCCGGAAATTCACAGTTAACTCTGATATTCCTTAAACAGAGCATTGTTCCTCACACAAGGAAGGTCAGAGGAAGACGGTTTGTGGAACAGGAATGTGGATTCAATTGGATTCAACTGGACACTTCCTCCAGGGGTGCCTGCCATTATCTGTGGCCTTGGAGACAGGGATTCATTCGTTCAGCTGGCTGGTTGCAATGCTTCTGCCTCCCCTGTTATTATCCAGAATTTATGGTGCTCTCCTGGGCTCCAAAATGCCTTTAAGAACCATTTACGATCATGACTTCCCACGGGGCCTTGGGAATACAGACTAATGGTTGTTATGTCTTGTAGGAGGGAAACTGAGGCAAGGAGGAAAGAGGGGCTTCCCACATCAGCCAGCATCTAGGCACAGAACTAAAACACCTCATAGTCTACCACACAGAGAAAGGAGAAGAGGGGCAGAAAGGGGACAAGAAAGAAAGGGCAAATTTTACACAAATCTTTTTTTTTTTTTTTTTTGAGACAGGGTCTCATTCTGTCACCCAGGCTGGAATGGAGTGGCACGATCACAGGTCACTGCAGCCTTGACCTCTTGGGCTCAAGTGATTCTCTCACCTCAGCCTTCTGAGTAGCTGGGACCACAGGTACACGCCACCATACCTGGCTAATTTTTTATTTTTTGTAAAGATGGAGTCTCACTATGTTGCCCAGGCTGGTTTCAAACTCCTGGCCTCAAGCAATCCTCCTGTTTTGGCTTCCACAATGCTGTGATTACAGGTGTGAGCTATCTCTCAAAAATCATTTTTAATATGGAGCTGCTCTTTGGAAGTCTAAAACATATTTAAATCTACTGAACTTCCTCTATGAACATAGTTACTTACTCCCTCTAGAATTCTAAATCAGTACTTCTTTTTAGAAAAAACACTTTAGAAAATAAAGCATATATTGAATGTCTACTAACCACAAAGCATGTCTGCCAAAATAGCTGGAGATGTGAATACAGCTGGGCTTGCCTAGTTGAGACATGAGTCTCCCAGGTTCCTGTCATGCTGGAACCCTGTTGGGGCCACCAACCAGTCAAGTTTTCCCTCTGACACTGGCTTCATGCTTTGGCAGAATGTTCCAAATTCTCCTCAGCTCCATTAAATGCCTGGGCAATGCATTCTGCTTGTCAGTGGAATTCAGCTGGTTACTTGGAGACCCATTCATGACTTCCTGACTGCCTGAAAGACAGCTTGGGGGTAAGACCTTCCCTAAGACCCAGGAGGACGTCTTTTCAAAGGGAAGGTCCTCTGGCCATTTAATATGATGACATCCCAGCCACAGAGAACTTTCGGAGCCTACTTTTTATGCTCTGTGAGTGTGCCCATGCTCCCCCTCAGACCCAGATTCACATGTTCTAGCCTCGACCCTCATCAAAACTTACCTCCCCCTATAAATGACCCCTGGACAATGCAGGGACAGGCACTCCCACTTCGGCCTGCCCTTCAGCACAGCACGTACCCCACACAGAAGTCCCCTGCTGGTGTTTCTCTCCCCTCCTGGGCCTGGAGCTTCCTCTCTGGCCCCCAGCCCCCAGCTCCCAGCCTGTGCCTCTCCTGCACCCGGGTTATCATGATTACTGCTTCCAGGAAGGGGATGGGATCAGCAGTCTGTCCAGGGACACTAACCTGCTACCTTAGGCCAGGGGATTCCTAGAAGCAGAGCCTGAAAGAAAGCATGTGATTTATTGTGCAGGTGTTTTCAGGAGAAACCTGTAAGGGAGTGGGGGAGGCAGGACGGGGGCAGTGGGAGGAGCTAGGAATGAGGTGCGTTCAGCTGGAGCCCAGCCACAGCTGATCCCCTGGGGAGCTCTGTGGTGTGAAGGGCCCCCAGAGTTGTCCTACGTGGAGGTGGGCAGGTGGCGCTTCTGGACCGCTGCATGTCAATCATTGGCAGAGGGACAGCCCGTAGGCATTTCCCTGCAAGAGCAATTCTCAGGAAACGTGTGCCGCTAAGACCCAGCACTGTCAACACTCACAGCATGCAATAGATTAAGGGGACCTGGGTGGTACAGCAGCATCCATTACACCTGCTCCATATCTGAGATTGAAGCAACTACTGGGTCTGTCACTGTCCCCCACCCACTCTCAAGTTGGGAGGAAACAGCTGCCCACTCAGGACCAGCCTGGCGCTGGAGCCTAGGCTGCCGGAACGGGGTCAGCGTCACCCAAGCTCTGGACCAGCTGAAGCCCTGCAGCAGTTGCATGAAGGATCCTTTCCCTTCCTTCCCACAGATGCCACTTGCAGGTGTTTCCAGCCTCCCACAGGAGGCCTCTCCAAGAACAAATGCAGGGCTGGCCAAGCCCAAAAATCACAGCCTCAGCTTCCTGAGAGGAGAGCACACACCAAGTTCTCAAGACGCTCTAGGAGGAGGGAAAGGCGTCTGGAGCTCCCACCAAAAACAGCAGAATCCCCTCTGCTCTTAGGTCTTGCTTCCTCCAAACGCTCCATGATCAGGGAGCCTGGAGAACGTGCCACCTTTCCTTGGTCTCAGAGCATCCCCAGGACCCTGGCTCGCCCTACGTGGTTTCAGTTCCAGCCTGGAGACCCAGCACCTCTCGTCTTATTTATGAATTGGGAAGTCCTCCAAGGGAGGGGCAGCCCTGGCAGGAAAGTCCAGGGTGAGAGAGGGGAAGAGCTGCCTTTGGTGGTCACTTTTGTTTTTTGTTTCCTGAATTGTCTTTCTGGTTGTAGAGCAGGGGCCAGGCCCCAACCACCCCCACCTCAGCTCCCAGTGGGGGTGAGGGAGGGAGAGCAACAGTTGTTCTATAGGCTCCAGGCAGCCCCAGTCTCTGAGACAGGCTTGGGGAGGAGAGGGCTTTCCATGGAGAATTCCCAGGGTGGCAGACCCCACAGAGCCACCACCTGACCAGTGGGAGGGCTGAGCACTTGCCAAAGCCTGGACTGAAACCAAGGATGGGGGGCAGTGGGAAGAGGTGGCTTAGAGACACCCGACGTCACAGCGATTCTGACTCCAGGTGCTCATGAGACTCCCAGAGCAGCGGCAGGGAGTGGGTAGAGAGAGGGGTTGCTTTAAACATCCTGATGTCAGCGAGGCATGGTGGCTCATGCCTGTAATTGCAGCACAGCACAAGGACAGCTTGGGGCCAGGAGTTCAAGATCAACCTGGGCAACATTGTGAGACCCCATCTCTACAAAAAATAAAAAAATAAAAAATTAGCCAGGCACAGTTAATGCCTGTAGTCTTAGCTACTCAGGAGGCTGAGATAGGAGGATCGCTTGAGCACAGAAGTTCGAGGTTGCAGTGCGCTATGATGGTACCACTGCACTCCAGTCTGGGAGATGGAGTGAATCCCCTTCTTTAAAAAATCAAATCAAATCAAATCCTGACATCCAGATTGCAGCCCAGATCAATTACATCAGACTCTAGGGGAGGGGCCCAGGCAGAAGCACTTTCAAAGCCTCCCCAGGTCATGCCAGTGTACATCCAGGGCTGAGCGCCACTGTGGAACCTGGTAGGGAAAGAGCTGTGTAGATTGAGGACACCACCATAGGTATTTCAAAGCAGCCCTTCAAGAAAGGAAGGGGTGGAATTTTCTAAAAGCAAACTGAGTTGGGTATTTAGCACCCTCTCCCTACTACTAATATTTCCAAGGAGAAAGGGGACAGTGTAGAGTGTCCCGCAGGGTCTATGTGTGCAGGCACTGAGCTGACGCAAAGGGCTCCTTCTTGCAAGCCAGGGCACCATGTCACAGAAGCCAGAACCCCAGCCCCAGGCCCCAAGTCTGATGCAAAGGAAACGCTCACTGGAGGCCTGTAGCTTCCTCTTTTGGGGCCTGTGCACACCTCTTCTCTGAGCCCTGCCCCTCCCTCTGAGGACAACCTGGATCTCCTGGGTTGGAGAAGAAAGTTGCTGGACACAGTGCTTTCCACTACAGTGTTAAAGACCAACTGGCCAGGTCTCCTGAGGGAATCTGCTTTGTAACCAAGCAATGGCAGAGGAGATAGTGATCCCTCTGCGCTTCGGACCCCTTGTAGTGGGGCAGGAAGCGGTGTGGATGGCAAACAGGAAACCCCAGCCCCATTGCACCACACGAGGAAGGAGACTTGAGCTGCGGGCTGGGGCCCTGCCAAGACCTAGAGATGGCAAGAGATGCCAGATCATGCTTCCCAAACCCAAGCCTGTCCTGGGCATGGGCAAAATGTGGGCTGCCTCGGAAGGAAATGGCATACTCTGCCTTCTGCCTTCCTGCTTTATGGAACAGAAGCCCCATCACTGCCTGGACTCCTTTAACCCCTACACCAACCTCATTACGAAAGAAACTTTATTATCCTCATTTTGCAGTTGAACAGTTGAGGCACAAAGAAGCTATGCCACTTGCCCAAAGACACACAGCTAGAAGGGGCGGAGCTGAGGCTCAAATCCAGGGCGGTGCAGGTGCCAAGCGGAACCCCTGTAGACTACAGCTTCTCTTGAGGTGATAAGGAAGAAAGTGCTTTCAGCCAAAAATCAGCCAACCCAACTGTATTCTGGAGGAGAGGTTCTCCCACTTGAGTGTGTATTGGAATCTCTCCGAGGGCTCGTTAAAATACAGATTGCAGGTCCCTTTGCCCCAGTTTCTGATTCAGTAATTCTGGGGTGGGGTCTGAGAAGGTGCAGTTCTAATAAGCGCCCAGGGCTGCTGCTGATGCTGCTGGTGGTAGCAGGCTCTAGATGCTTTATCTTAGTCCCTCCAAGAACCTCAGGGGGAAGACTTCACTTTACAAATGAGGAAACAGAAGGTCTCAGAGGTTAGGTGGCTTGTCCCAGGTGGCACAGCCGACATGCAGCCCAGTGCTCCTGTGGCTCTCTGGCTGAGCGCTGGATCTGAGAGGGCCACTATGCGAGTAGCAGGTGCAGGCTGGCTCCAGCTACCAGCCCACAGCAGGCTGGGAGGTCTGGGGGATGGGAGGCGAGTGAGTGACCAGCCCAGAGGACAAGCTGTGGGAAAAGCAGACCCTGCAGGGGCCAGGGAGAGAGGCCCAGAGCCGCAGGTCCAGGACGTGGGCACTTGCAGTCACAGAGCCACTGACTCTCAGTCCCTTATCACACACTGGGTGGGACACTGAGGGGACAATGAACTACCCCTCCCATTCACAGGCCCCGCAGACCATCCCCACCCCATTCCCAGAAAAACCCCGATGCTTGGTAACTGACAGGCACAGCCCCTTCCTGGCAAGCTACCGCACTCCCATCCCCGGAGCTGCCCCTGCCTGGCCCACCGACACAGGAGGAACTGAAACACAGCAAGGGCCATGCTGGGGTTTCTTCAAGCATGTCAGCCTACGAAGCCGCCACTCTTCTGCCACCAACTGTGGCCCAGCCCGGCCCAGCCCTCCCTGCCCAAGCTGTCTGCACAGGCCTGGGTTCCCAGACGCGACTGTGGAAGATGGGAGGAAGCGGTCCTGGGACTCCTGCCGGAAAGGCCTGCCTCCAGCTCCACCCCAGTGGGAGGGTGGCCAGGTGAGTGACCCAGAAGGCCACCGCTGGGCCCACCCAGACAATGGCCTCGCAGACCGGAGGAGCAGCCACATGTTTACAGGGAAGCCCCACTGGCATCCACAAGTGCCTGACCTTTAGGATGGATGTTGCAGAAGGAAATTCAGAGCGCTTAGCCACTAATCAGAGAGGCAGGGCGCTGGAGCGGGACGAAAAAGGAAGCATAAAGGAAGCACAGACTCCAGAAAAAAGCAGCTGTGTGTGCGTGGGTGTGAGCATAGCTCCCGGTGTGTGAGTGAGAGTCCAGTGTGTGGCGTGTGTGTGTGTGTGTGTGGAGGGTATGGTTGGGGGTGGTGTGTATGGCTGTGTATGTGTGTGTATCCACATGTATGGTGTGTGTGCTTGGTATGTGTAGAATTAGACTCTGGCTCAGAGAAACTAAAGACCTAGAATGCTAACCAGCCAAGACATAGTCCCTCGTGGGCTCCAGTTCAACCAAGTGAGACATTCCATGTGACTGTAGGACCCAAGGGGAGAGTGGAAAGTTGGTGGAGACAACACTGGCCCCAATAAAGCAAATAAGACAAGACACTCCCTGACCTGCATTTCTCAAAGCTGAGCCAGTTTATAGGGTAGTTTTAATGTCCTACCTGGGGAAGAGCAAGGTAAGCTTTCCTCCTGTCCAATAACTACAGGATTTAAGGGAGGCCACCCTGCAGGGAGGGCCTGAGGCCTGTGTCCCCAAGTGCTCCCGATGGCCCATCTGAGGGTTCGTCTCCCAGCTCTGCAGAGACAGAGACAGACAGATCCAGGCAGGTAAGGAGGGGCTGCCTCCGGGTCCCCTGTTTCCTACAAGCTCAGATTTCTTTGGTATCGACACTTCCTGTTTACTGAGTGGTTTCCAAGTCACAGGCCACTCAGACTCATCTCTGACTTCACATCCCCTTCCTCAAGGGAACCCCAGCATTCTTCCTTTTTTGGTGCTATAGGCTGAGACTCTGAGCTCTGTGTGCGGAGATCTTGAGGTTTCCTCTACTCGCCACCTGGGGACAGGACTGAAAACCCAAAAGCTAGGATCGCTGGCCTCCTCCACCCCCAGACCCCGGCAGGTTCCTTGGACTTGAAAAGCAGTGAGTGGGAAGAGCAAAGGAAGTGCCGGGTGTGTCCAGAGCCCTCCAGGGTGGTCGGGGCGGCAGTCATTGCGGCATATCTGACATCCACCCTCCACCCTCCTTTAACCTTGAGTTAACGCATCCAACAACGTGTGCGGGGAAATTCCCCGCTCACTGCAGATCTCAGACCCCTCCTAGTGCCAGGAGAAATGGCACATCGGGGGGTTTCCAGACCGTTTCCAGGGGAAGTTTGCCACAGTAGCACATTCACAACCTCCTCTGTCTGCCCTGGGCACAGCTGACCAACCCTAAAGGAAAGTCAGCCCCATGAAAAGCAGAACTGCTCCTCCACGTGGCCCGCAGAGGCGGCTCTATCAAACCTCTGTACACCCGGACGACTACCTAAGATTAATAAGGTAGCCACCCACTGGGCAGGGCCAGGTGAAGAGACCCTGAGCGCCCTCCCAGACTCACGCTTTTACCAACTCACTGGAGGAGCCGTGGGCGCTTCGGGGAACTCACCTAACAAGGAACTCACAGCATTTGCCTCAGAGCAAATGTCCCAGAGAAAAGCCACCTGACCCACTCCCGTGACCCCTGAATAGAGTCACGTGACCTGGTTTCCCTGTTCTGGGTCCCGCAGCTTCCTGAGCTGACCTGCGGGCAAACTCTGCCTCAGCAGCCCCCCAACTACGTGGCACCATGGCCCCGACTGTACACAAAAGAGCCATCCTTGCCCTAAATGTCTGTGTGATGAGCTGTAAGACCCTACACGGCACTTTAGGAAGGGGCACTGATTATCTGAGGCTACCACCACCCATCTCCCCAGAGTACCTGAGGCCTCATGGACTCCACCAGTTAAAGTCCCCCCTGCACCCCATGCCACACTATGGACAAAACATTCAACAACCAGCCCTACAGCCACTGGGATGGGTATTTAGCAGGGCAAGCGTTGGGCACACACAAAGGATGCTTGAAATAGAAAGGCAGAGATCCTCCTTCTCGAGCTTCAGGGAAGCTAGTGTCCACACAACTCCACTTCTACCTGGTTTGAATCTCTCTCTCTGCACGGCACCTGCTCCCTCAAAGTCATGGCGAATCGTGAGCCCACATTTCCAAACTCATCACCACACAGAAAACCCTGAGATTAAGCAGCAGTGGGTCTGGGCCCCAAGGGCCAGCTGCCAGCAGCCAGCAAGCCATGCTGTGGTCAGCTCCCAAGCCAGTGGTGCTGCACGTCTGCACCCTGGCCACTTTTGTCCTGTGAGGCTGAGATGGAGGCAGCACCCTGATACTGCCCAGGCCAGGAAGGATAGTCAGGACCACATGACCCAGCCTGAGATGGAACCTCCAGGGGCCAAATACCACAGCTGTCTCCCGGGGCTTTCCTTTCAATTGCAGAAGTAAAATAAACATTTTTTGTTTTATTTTTTAAATATAGGTCAGGTTCCATGGTTCACACCTGTAATCCCAGCAATTTGGGAGGCCGAGACGGGAGGATGGCTTGCATGCAGGAGTTCAAGACCAGCTTGGGCAACATGGCAAAACCTTGTCTCTATAAAAAATAAAAAATTAGCTGAGTGTGGTGGCGTGCACCTGTAGTCCCAGCTACTTGGGAGGCTGAGGTGAGGTGGGAGGATGACTTGAGCCCAGGAGACGGAAGCTGCAGTCAGCCATGACCACACCTCTGTACTCTAGCCAGGGCAACAGAGTGAGACCCTGTCTCAAAAACAAAAACGAAAAATATATATAGATAAATGAAAAGATTAGTATCCACAAAAGGACAAATATTGTTTGATTCCATTGATATGAGGTAGCTAGAACAGGCAAATTCATAAAGACGGTAAGTAGACTAGAAGCTACCAGGAGCTGGAAGGAGAAAGGAGTGAGGGGGTTATTGTTTAATGGGTACAGAGCTTCTGTTTGGAACGACGAAAAAGTTCTGGACATGGATAATGGTGATGGGTTGTACAACGTTGTGAATGGAGTTAATGCCACTAATTTGTACACTTAGAAACGGTTAAAAGGGTAAATTTTATGGTATGCGTACTTTGCCACAATAAAACATAAAAATAAATTATTACATATGAAAAAAGATGAAGATCGAAATCTCGCAAACCTCCACCACCCAGAGATAATCACTATTGACATTTTACCATACATCCTTCCAGATGCTAATATAGATGGGTGATACAGTTTGTAAAAATAGCACATAGTTTGGTAAGCTGCTTCTTAAAAATATATCATATTCTGGTGGCTCACACCTGTAATCCCAGCACTTTGGGAGGCCGAGGCGGGTGGATCACCTGAGGTCAGGAGTTCAAAAGCAGCCTGGCCAACATGGTGAAACCCTGTCTCTACTAAAAATACAAAAAATTAGCCTGGCGTGGTGGTGCATGCCTGTAATCCCAGCTACTCGGGAGGCTGAGGCAGGAGAATTGCTTGCACCCGGGAGGCGGAGATTGCAGTGAGTTGAGATCATGGCATTGCACTCCAGCCTGGGCAACAAGAGTGAAACTACATCTCAAAAATACATATATATCATATTCTTCCACGTTAATAGCTACACACCTGCAGCCTATGTTTTTGTAGCCACTTGGTATTCCAAAGTATAGACATGCCATGGTTAACTAATGTATGACTGTTGGTCTCCATTTGTCACTATGGAGTGTTATCATTATTATAAATAATGCTGCGAGGGACATCCCCATACACATACTTTTCTGCATTTATCCAATTACATCCCTAGGGGCAGAATTCCTAGGGGTGGAACTGCTGAGTCAGGGACTTGTTTGGGAGGGTTGTCAACAGAGCATTAAGAGTAAAATTACACCAAGATGATGAATTCTGTCATAGAAAGTTCTCTTTCTCCACACAGACTTTTCTCCAAACCTCCTTCCAAAAACAGCCAGGTGTTAAACATTTACCAGGACGTCACTGGTCACAACCTAGGAATGCAAACCATGAGCAGACTCTACTTGGGTGTCTATAACTTTGCATAGTGATTCAGAAAGGAAGGGACCATCCGTTCCAAAAAAAACCAGTCCCTCCCTCCCCACCTCTCCAGGCCTCCTCTGGAGACACACCATGCCGGAGTCCTGAGGTGACACTGATATACAAGACAGGCAGGATTATACTGGGTTAATGTCCACTGAATTCCCAGGAGGAAGGACTCTAGGAGGGGCCAGTGCTGGGTGTCTCATGGTGGGTGGCACACATGTAGTCCACAGGAAAGGTTTTTTGTCATTAAAGGTTTTGTTCTTGTATAGACAGAAGGACAAGGCAATGACTCTTCTGAAAGAGATCAAGGGTTAGAAGGGACATATGGAATCATTTAATCCCTTGCCTTGGAGATGGGGAAACTGAGAACCAGAGTCTCACAGCATAAACATTTCAATAATCATTAGCCAGACGCAGTGGCTCATGCCTGTAATCCCAGCATTTTGGGAGGCTGAGACAGGTGGATCACTTGAGGTCAGGAGTTCAAGACCAGCCTGGCCAACATGGTGAAACCCCATATCTACTAAAAATACAAAAATTAGCTGGGCATGGTGGCATGCACCTGTAGTCCCAGCTACTTGGGAGGCTGAGGCAGGAGAATCGCTTGAACTTGGGAGGTAGAGGTTGTAGTGAGCCAAGATCGTGCCACTGCATTCCAGCCTAGGCAACAGAGTGAGACTCCAACTCAAAAAAAAAAACACAATAATAATCATAATCACTAAATGCACCCCAGAAGTGTCTCGCATGCAGGTGAGGTTCAACCGGTTTGGGGCAGCGCTTGAACATATCCCATGACTTGGATGCCTAATACAAATCTTATCCTCCCCTCCGCATGTACAGAATTGGAAATTAAAATCACTGGGGTCACATGCTGACTTAGTCATGGCCCGATGTGTGCTGGGGCCAGATCCTACTGGCTCCCAAGTGCCAATGGCGCACAACTCTTCCCAACTGAGTGTTCACTGATACCAGGTTGGTAGAGTGAAGTCAGCCATAGTGGGAATATTTATTTATATCATATAAACTGGAAAACACCACAAAGCAGGGCTTCCCCCAAAGCCCCTACCAAGAGCCGGGTGTTAAATATTCACCAGCACGTCGCTGGTCACAACCTAGGAATACAAACCATGTGCAGGTGACCTCAGTTTCCTCACCTAACCTAAGAGCAGCCTCTCTCCAAAGCACTGTAACTCTCTATGTTCCACCATAATACACACTCTGAAATCCATCATAGCCTGCTTCTAGCCAGCAAATGGTTTTCTACATGCTTGCTATGTGCCAGGCTAAGCACATGATAGCCCATTTGACCCTCACAATATTGCTGTGAGATACTTATTATAATTCCCATCTTACAGTTGTGGAAACTGAGTCTTTTCTTTTCTTTTTTCTTTCTTTTTTTTGAGAGGAAGTTTTGTTCTTGTTGCCAAGGCTGGAGCACAATGGCGAGATCTCAGCTCACTGCAACCTCCGCCTTCCAGGTTCAAGCGATTCTCCTGCCTCAGGCTCCTGAGTAGGTGGGATTACAGGCGCCCGCCACCATGCCCGGATAATTTTCGTATTTTCAGTAGAGACGGGGTTTCACCATGTTGGTCAGGCTGGTCTTGAACTCCTGACCTCAGGTGATCCACCCACCTCGGCCTCCCAAAGTGCTGGGATTACAGGCATGAGCCACTGCGCCCAGCCTGAAACTGAGACTTTTAATGACTTTTAACTATAAGTTAAAGCCTGTCTTAGGTTGGTTTCACCCAAAAGTAGATCGTGAAACAAGAATTCAAGTTCAAGTACAAAGGGAGTGTACAAAGTACAAAGTACACTCCCTTTGTACTTGAAATGTACTTGAGATGAGGAAGTGAGCAAGCTAACACTATGAGCAATTGAGATTCGGTCCTGCAAGGGAATTCTTAGAGACAGCACAGAACATGCCCCAAACTTATCTCAAAAGAGAGGCGAGGAAGCTGGAGTATTTGCACACCTTCTCCCATCAGTCATTGGTTGAGACCAGTGGAACATGGGCAGGAGACTGACAGCATCTATTACATTATTCAGTATCCCACAGCTAGGAAATGGTAAGATGCAATTCAAACTCCAAATCCAATACTCTTTCATGACATTTATAAAAATGAGCAGTTAATCACACTTCACTGAATGCCAACTACGGTTAAAGCACCGTGCTGATGAAGGAAATCTACTTTGCCAAATCACTTTGGGTCGACATGTTCAAAGAAAGCACAGGTATTTCTCTGCCAATTTTCACCAATTGAAGGAACAGGAAAGGGCCTTGGAAGTCATTTTGCCCGTTCCACAGGAATGGATGAGAGGGTCCCTCTCTGGTTCTGCCACAGCTGCCTTGAGCAGCAGCAGTTCCCCAGCCCCAAGCTGTCACCGCAAACAGCAGCATCAACCTGTGATGACAGACTTTAGAGTCTGCCATCCCAGAAGTGATAAAAAATGACCCACTGGCTGCATAGCCCAAGTCAGAGGATGTGCCACCCTCCTTCCCTGGTGCCTCCTGCCCCATTCACCAACCCCCGCCTCACACGGCCATGTGGTCCACAGTAACCAACAAGCAGGCCAAATAAATGAAACCAGCCGTGAGACCTGTGGGAGCTCACTCCACCTTGAGGACATTTATACATTCTTCTGGGCCAGGCACAGTGGCTCATACCTATAATCCTAGCACTTTGGGAGGCTGAGGCAGGAGGATGGCTTGAGGCCAGGTGTTTGAGACCAGCCTGGATAACATAGCGAGACTTCATCTCTATAAAAAAATAAAAATAAAAATTTAGCTGGGTGTGGTGGCATATGCCTGGGGTCTCAGCTCCTCAAGAGGCTGAGGTGGGAGGATCGCTTGGGCCCAGGAGGTTGAGGCTGCATGAGCCATGATTGCACCACTGCACTCCAGCCTGGGCGACAGAGAGAGACCCTATGTCAAAAAATAATAATAATAATAAATATAAATAAAAAATAAAACTTCTTCTTGGAGACAGGGAAGTGTTTAAATAGGACAGTGTGTCATTACAGTAAACAACTGGACGATGTTGTGAAGAGTATTAGGGAGGTAGCAGGAGGGAATTTCTACCCCTTGCTTTATAAACCCAGCTGTGGCAGTTCTCAGCTACTACAGATTGAAGATAGAGGCTAAACATCTTGTTCCATTCCAAGCACACTGCTGAGACCTGCCCTGTTTCTCGCTCTGGAAGAGAGGAGGAGATGAGTCCTGGGACTACTCTTGGGGTCACTCAGTCCATCTCCCAGCCTCTCCGTGAGACTCTCTGGCAACCTGACCCTGCCTTTCTGCCCCCACCTCCCACTCAGTAAGGACACTTCCTGCCAAAATATCCTAAAGAGGACTGAAAGTAATAATCAGGCCCATGTTCTTTTGTGCTTTGATGACAGGTCTCCTCTCTGGCAAGCAGCGTCGTCCAGCCCTCTGAGGCAGCAGATGCACACCCTGGGCACTTCTCCAGCTGACTCGCTCAGCCATTCCTAAGCAGCTCACGTATGGAACGCAGACACGAAGCCTGGCTCCGGGGCACCAGGAAATAGACCAAGAAGTCAAAGCAAAACCAATAGCAACTGGGATGTCTCAGGTGGGTCAGAGCATCCAAAGGATTGAAAACAAGGTGTAGGGTTGTCCGCCACACCAACTGGGCTCCTAAGATGGCACAAACTGGCGAGAAGACCTGAACCTCCAAACAGAAGCCATGTGGAGATGGAGAGAGGTGGGCCGCAGAGCACTAGGGACAGAGTGAGGCCACGCTCAGGGAAGTGGGGATGATGTGGCTGCAGATACAGCAGATGTGGGCGCAGCCCCAGTTGGCCAGATATGGAGGGCACACAGTCCCCTTCCCCTGGAGGAAGGCACGAAAAGGGACCTCAGATCCCTGGTCTCCTCTCAGCCAGGCTCCTCAAAGGGGCCATCACCATTCCAACCCAATTTCAACAGAATAAAAATGAGGGGAGTGGAGCACTTGGGATATGTCTAGGCTGCACCCCAACACTTACCATATGTCTCCCTGATATTCCACCTCTGCTCCTCCATCTGCTGAAGGAGGAGCGGAACTCACCTTCCAGCCTCCCCAGCACAGGGAACCCAAGCTGTACCAGTCCACACTCCACGTGCCCAGGCAGGCTGCACGCTATGCCTCCATCTTCTCCCAGGGCAAGAACACCCGCTCTTTCCAAAACTACTGCCCTCTCCAAGCTCAGCCATCATTTGAGGCCCTCTTCCACCCCTGTGAGGCCTGCTGGACTGCCACAGCCTAGGCATCAGGCTGACCTGTCCAGAGGAGAAAACACAGCTACTGCCCACCCTCAAAGCCCCCACGCAAGGGTCTCTGATCCCAAATGGCCACCACCCAGGTAGATGTCACACTGTGTCCCTGGGACACTATATTTGAACACAAGTGTTTTGGTTTTTTTGAAAATTAACTCTCCTCAAACAACCCGATATATCTTCGCCATGCGAGGCTTCTTTAATCCTTCAGACCACCTGCAGAAAAAGTGCCTGGTAAGTAAATGTGGATTTATTAGTAAAATAAGCCTAGCTGCAGATTCCTCATCCAGATGTTCCTGAAAGAAGGCCCCTGGCTCTGTCTTCCCGGCTGTTTAAAAGAATCATTGTTTCTAATTCTTTCCTCCCATTGTACTAAGATCAACTGTGGCAGGAACTGGGTCCCCCTCCAGGACAAATTGTTGTTTGTCAGCTGATTGGTTCATACATTCATTCATCATTTACAAGGTACTTACTATATCCCCAGGCTGCCGTAGACACAGCCTTTGCTCTCCCGAAAAACACGTTCTAGGCGCCGGGATTCCAGATACCTGGGAAATAGAGTGCACGCAGCTGTTGAGAGGCCTCGCGCTTGGCTTCTCCTATCACTGAGGCGCAGAGGTGCTGTGGACAGCCCAGACCCACACGGCGCCCGAGGTGAAACAGAACCCTCAGTCTCCCTATGAGGCCACTGGCACTCTCGGCTGTCCCCAGAGCTCTCCGACTTAGAGCTGAATGCAAAGTAAGCGCTCGAAATGCAGAAGTAGCCGGGGCCGCCCACGGCACCTGCCTCGCTCGGGGCGAGAGAAGACGCCAGGCTGAGGTCCCAGCGACCTCAGGCACCAGCTCCGAAGGAGGGCGGGGAGACCGCAAAGGGGAAGTGCCCGGAGGGCCAACGGCCCCCGCGCACCCTGCGCCCCTCTGAAGCGCGCCGCCTCCCCGCGCCGGGGACTGGGACCTGCCTCTGGGGAATCCGCCTAGAAGACGGCGGCGGACTGGGGTCGGGCACTCTCCAGGGCTGTCAGGCCCTCCCCAGCCCTGCACCTGCCGCGCCGCCCCACCTCGCCAGGAAGTCTCAGAGACCCCGGGGATGGGGTGGGAGCGCCTTCCCATCGCGGGCTCAAAAAGAAGGAAGGACGCCCCCAGGGGTCGTAGAAGGAGGACTAGCTCCAAGCCACAACTTTCTTCGGACCCAAGGCAGGCCGGCTGGGGCTCCGCGCCTACACGGCCCCTGGCGGGGGTCCGCGCGCCCCGGGAGCCCCGCGGCTCGGGGAGGAAAGAGGAGACAAGAGACAGGCGAGGATTACGGGGCTGACCCAGCCGGGGTAGGGACCATCGTGGAAAAACTTTGGCGAGGTGGGGGGACGCGGAAAGAGAGCGGCCCGCGCCCTGCACCTTGCGCCGGGCATCCCGCGCCAGTGCCTCGCTCCCAGTGCCCCGCGCCCCGCGCCCCGCGCCTTGCCTTCACCCCGGGCCAGCTGCATCGCGCCCGCGCCGCAGGAACCGTGGAGTTGGAAAGTGGGGGCGCCGCGGCTGGGGGGCTGCTTCAGCTGCGCCTCGGCCAGCGATCGGCGGGCCGGGCTCAAATCCAGCCAGGCTGGGCAGGCGGTGGCCGCGCGACTGGGGACCGGGCGCCCCGCCCTCCTCGCTCCCCTCCTCCTTCCTCTCCCTCCCTCCAGCCCCTTGGCCTTTTTCAGCCCCTACCGGATCTGCTCGTCCGCTGTCCTCTCTTTTCTCTCGCTCTTCATATCACTCTCCACCCCTTCGCCTTGCCTTCGCCTTTCTTCCTCCCCTTGTCTCCTGCCCCCTCCTCTTCTCCCCTCCCCTCTAGGGGCGGAGCTTCTCCCCTCCCTCCCAGACAATGCTGTGGCTGCGTCCCCTTCCCCGCCAGCTCGTCCAGGCTCCCGCCGCCAGCGATTCTTCCGGGCTGGGGGTGGGGAGGTGGGGGGGGAGTGCAGGGTTGGGGAGGATGAGCTGGCTCCCCTCACCTCCTTGCTGCTGCCCTCTCCAAGAGGGATGGAGACTTGGCCCAAGCTCCTCGGTTCACCCGGAGCTGTGACAGCCACTCCCAGGGAACAGTCACGCTGCCCTACCAAGCCCACCTCCAGCGGCCTGGATTCCCCAGGCAGAGGTTGTGGGATTTTGTTTTTTCTAACATCCCAGCTTATTCCCAAAAGGGTTTGAGCCGGACAGGGGCTAAACAGGCCCCTTCGACTTGGCGGGCCGGCCAGACGTGACAGCAATGCCAAGGAGGCCAAGTTTCTTTGTCCATTTCTCACCTCCCCCTTTTCCATCCCTGGACCTCCTGGCGCCCCCAGTACACAGAGGCCCTTGAGCAGCCCGGCTGCAGGTTCCCTATCTACTCAGAGTTCTCCCCCTCACGTGCCTATCCCCAACCCTGCAGTGTCTGCGGACCAAAGGGGAAGGGAGCCTCAGGCCAACCCCCAAGGTACAGCCAGACCAGCTCATCCAGCCTGGAAGCCAAGCATTCTTTACTAAATTCATTGTTTGGATCTTGGAATGTGTCTCCCTTAGAAACAATGTTATAAATGGTGATCTGCTTCCCAGGCCAGCCACAAAAGTCTGTTGAACCCAAAATGCAGCTGTAGGGTGGTGCTGAGAACTGTGTCAGCTACCCTGAAAAAGGAGGCCACTGATCAGCTTTATTTGTAGAAAAAATATGTATATATCTTCTGGTTCTTTCTTCTTGGGCTATAAACACTATAAATTAAATAAGTTAAAGTTCTCCCATTAAGTTTCCCCATATGGACCCACTACTCTATGTGTTAAGCTTCTTTCCTTTGCAGGTAATAGAAATAACCTTGGGGGAATGCATTTGCAGACGCAGTGGTTTCTCGATAATCTCATCTAATCTCAGTGTCAGAACTGCATGGAGAGCTCAGTATAAGAGGCAAATCCAGAGCCTAAAGGGCTTCCCGTAACCCAGAAAGTCTTCCCTGAGGGGTTCTTTCTTCTCCTTCATCACAGACTGGCCCTCCCTGCACCCCAGACACTTGGTGAAAGGTGGCCATGACTTCTATCTCCGGGGCTTGGAGCTCTGCTGCTCAGGAAAGCAGCCAGATGCTGCTAGAATCCCTTATTCTCTAATCTAATCTCCCAAAAGAGCAGCTCATCCTCCTGTGACAGTGGGGCTAGGGATGAGCTCAGGTTGTACATACTGGGCTACCAGAAACCCTGAACCTAGGCCCTATTTAAAACTAAACCCATTACTTTTGTTTTTGTTTTTGTTTTGTTTTGTAATTTTGAGATGGGGTCTCACTCTGTCACCCAGGCTGGAGTGCAGTGGCATGATCATAGCTCACTGCAGCCTCAATCTCCTGGGCTCAAGAGATCCTCCTGCCTCAGCCTCCCGAGTAGCTGGGATTACAGCCATGTGCCACTATGGCCAGCTAATTTTTGTATCTTTTGTAGAGATGGGGTCTCACTATGCTGTCCAGGCTAGTCGTAAACTCCTGGCCTCAAGCAATCCTCCCCCTCAGCCTTCCAAAGTGCTGGGATTACAAGCACAAGCCATCTTGCCAAGCCCTGAACACATTTCTCTCTACTTAGATTCTCCATCTTGGTGAATAAATTGATTGATTGATTCATTCATTCATTCACGCAAGTCACCAGAAAACATTTTTCCATTCATCAATTTCCCCATACCAAAGCCACAGGTGAGAAAGGAATAGCCCTTCATCCTTCATCCTTCAAGGCAGAATATAGCAACACATCTGAACAGGGATAATATTTTGCATATATTAAACTAATAATTAAAGTCTACCCTTAAATCATATTTTCTTTTTTTTTTTAAGATGGAGTTTTGCTTTTGTTGCCCAGGCTGGGGTGCAATGGTGCAATCTTGGCTCACCGCAACCTCCACCTCCCAGGTTCAAGATTCTCCTGCCTCAGCCTCCTGAGTAGCTGGGATTACAGGCATGTGCCACCATGCCCTGCTAATTTTTTGTATTTTTTTTAGAGATAGGGTTTCACCATGTTAGCCAGGCTGGCCCCGAACTCCTGACTTTGTGATCCACCCACCTCGGCCTCCTAAAGTGTTGGGATTACAGGCGTGAGCCACTGCACCTGGCCAGACCGTGTTTTCTTATAGGCTTCTACCACCAGAGGCCAGACCAAGAGGCTCATGGCCCAGGAAGCAACAGGTGAGCATTGTCTAGAATTGTCTAAAATTCTCCAATAGAAACACAACTTGTGGCTGGGCACAGTGGCTCATGCCTGTAATCCCAGCACTTTGGGAGGCCGAGGCGGGCAGACCACCTGAGGTCAGGAGTTTGAGGCCAGCCTGGCCAACGTGGTGAAACCCCACCTCCACTAAAAATACAAAAGAAATACAACTCAAGCCACAGGTGCAATTTTAAACTTTCTAGCACCCACATTAAAAATGGTAAAAAGAAACAGGTGAGATTAATTTTAGTAATAGATTTCTATTTAACTCAATATGTTACAAATACTATCATTTCAACGTGTAATTAATATAAAGAAATTATCCATGAGACATTTCACATCCTAGTTTCATACTAGGGCTGAAATCTAGCGTGTTTTTTGCTTGAGGACATCTCAATTTGGACATTAAAATTTCAACAAAACTACTTGATCTGAATTCAGATTTTGTAAAACTTCTAGTTGAAAAAGTAGATTCACATGCCCAAGTTGTTTCAAACATACTTAAATGTTGCCCAATAACTGAATCGAGGATCGGCATATACATTTTCATTTTAATTAATTATGAATAAATAAACTTAAAATTCAGTTCCGGCCGGGCGTGGTGGCTCACGCCTGTAATCCCAGCACTTTGGTAGGCCGAGGTTGGTGGATCACAAGGTCAGGAGATAGAGACCATCCTGGCTAACACGGTGAAACCCCGTCTCTACTAAAAATACAAAAAATTAGCCGGGCGTGGTGGTGGGCACCTGTAGTCCCAGCTACTCGGGAGTCTGAGGCAGGAGAATGGCGTGAACCCAGGAAGCGGAGCTGGCAGTGAGCCGAGATCGCGCCACTGCACTCTAGCCTGGGTGACAGAGCGAGACTCCGTCTCAAAAAAAAAAAAAAAAAAAAAAATTCAGTTCCTCAGGGGCATTTGCCATGTTGCAAGTGTTCAATAGCCACAGGCTACCAGATTGGGACAGCACAGGTTTACAGAACAAGGAGGCCACTGATGAGTTTGGAGTCTCAAAGCTAAGTTCCTTTTTTCCTTAGCAAAACAGTAGTGGGAATGACAAGCATGGCCAGAGAAAGAAAAGGAGCTTCTGCATTTCTTTGTCTCCCCGTATAACAGCTGGAGAGGCAGATCAGAGTTCTCCTGTGTGGCTTGGGAAAAGGAGGCTATGCAGAGAACTGGGAGGCCCAAAGCCCACTCCTCAGTTCCCAGTGGATTCTGGGAAAAGGGAGGAAGACAGAAAGTCCTGGATGCTGCGTCTCCCCTATTTGTGACCTTTGACCTTAGAGCAGAGGTATGTTGGTGGGTTAAGTGGAGTTCTGGGGATAGAATCAAGGATTACAGGCCAGGTGCGGTGGCTCACGTCTGTAATCCCAGCACTTTGGAAGGCCGAGGCAGGAGAATCACCTGAGGTCAGGAGTTCGAGACCAGCCTGGCCAACATGGTGAAACCCCATTTCTAATACAATTACAAAAATTAGCCGGGCGTGGTGGTGGGCGCCTGTAATCCCAGCTACTCAGGAGGCTGAGGCAGGAGAATTGCTTGAACCTGCGAGGCGGAGGTTGCAGTGAGCAGAGATGGCGCTGTTGCACTCTAGCCTGGGCAACAGGAGCAAAACTGTCAAAAACAAACAAACAAACAAACAAACAAGAACAAAAAAAAAAACACGGTCTGCCCACTCGCTTCTCCTCCAACCTAGACAGCCTCACACAAGTCAGCTCAGTGCAGCACCATAGCTACACAGAGGGAGGGCCTGGGTTCAGCTTCCTGGGGTCACCCACAATCCCCGTGTGGCATAGATGTAATGCCAAAGTTCCCACCTGCTCCCAAGGACCAGGAGCTTCAGAGGGAAGCTGAGTTGTGTGAGCCACAGGCTTTTTTAACAGGGCCTGTCTTGGTTTGAGCTCCCTCAAGAGCAGAGCCTGAGACAAGGATTTGGGTGCAGATCATTTACTGAGGACCCAGAACGCAGGAGTGAGGGAGGGAGGAAGTGGAGAGTGGGGAAGGTGCATTATTGGACAGGTTACTGCTGGGGGCAACTGGGGCTTGACTTCTCTGGGGACCGTATAAGGAACTGTGTAGAACACGCCTCAGAAATATCTCATTAAAGGTGGGGGGTTTGGGGCATTCTTCTGCTGACTCCTCTCATTCTCCTCTAGTTGAGCTTACCTCCTCTTACTTCCTGGTTTGTGTGGACATATTTGTTCTAAAAGAAACATCTGAGGCAGAAAAACAGGAGCCGGCCGGGCGTGGTGGCTCGTGCCTGTAATCCCAGCACTTTGGGAGGCCGAGGCAGGCGGATCACCTGAGGTCAGGCGTTCGAGACCAGCCTGGCCAACATAGTGAAACACCGTCTCTACTAAAAATACAAAAATTAGTTGGGCATGGTGGCGCACACCTGTAATCCCAGCTACGTGGGAGGCTGAGGCAGGAGAATTGCTTGAACCTGGGAGGTGGGGGGTTGCAGTGGCAGTGAGCCGAGATCGCGCCACTGCACTCCAGCCTGGGTGACAGAACAAAAATCCAGAAAAAAAAAAAGAAGAAAAAAGAAAAACAGGAGCCATTGTCCCTTAAGGTGGAATGAGTTCCTGTTCGTGGAGCTGTCCACCACTGCCCTGCTGGGATGAGAAATGGGCTGAGGGGATGCGACACAGAACAAACAAATCATCTGCTCTAAGCCCCAGGATGAAGAGGGGCAGGTAGACCCTGGCTAAATCAGGGGCTGGCAGGAGGACATAATGGAGACCCAGAGGGTGCATCAGCGAAGGCCGAGTGAAGATCAGAGTGCAGAGATCCGAAGGAGCCTGGAGCACCCAGACCTTGAACTGCACACGCTGCAGGCGTCAGCAGTAGATGCCAGCCCAGTACTCAGGAATGGGACCAGCCCGTCCAGCATTCTGCTTTCAAGGGAGGGTCCAGAGCAGGCCATCTGCAGCGGGGCCCAGGGAGGACCCAGAGGCCTCCCCGTGATCCTGAGCACGAGCCTCACTTGCCACCACCAGAGTAAGGTTCAATCTCTCCCAAAGATGCGTCTTAAAAAGAGCTGGGCAGGAAGGAAGAACTCTGAGAGAGGGTTTGCGTAAGAAGACCAGAGGGACCATTTAGTATTGCATAAGACTTCATTTACCAGACTAATATTCAGATATTTTTCCCCTCTGCTATCCAGGAGGTAAGAATTTACAGAGGAAGATCCAATGAGATATAGAGAAATAAGGAAGCCTAAGTGAGGTCTACCCCTGGGCTGCCGCCACCTCTTCACACGTCTGGTGCACCAGCGTGGCAGGCCAGCTGGACATCTGCTTGACGGGTGAAAAAAGACCCTCTTGGGAGAGAATCTGCATTCTAAAGAAAGAAGAAAACAAGTGGTAACGCGGCTTGAGTTGACAGAAGGCTAATGAGATTGTCACTCAACTCTGCTCCCAATCTGGTCCCCTGGACACACAGGAGGGGGCTCCTGGGAAGAAGAAGGGGCTCTAGGTTACAACTGAAGGGGCTGTTTTGTAAACCTCCGGGTATTCTCAGACCCAAGCAACCATGTTTTGGGAACCCTCCTGCTGAGTAATACTTAAGGGGCCAACCCTCCACTGTTCAGCTTCTCTATTTCAAGAGCTTGTTATGTTGACAACACTACCTAGAATGAGACAGCTTGATTGCCAAAACGGTCACGACTACTGGCTCCCAGCACACTTGCTGTTTGCAATGTGATGCTGCAGTTCCTCCAATAAGGAAGTGGAGTCTACTTCTCCACCTTGAATCTGGGCTGACAGTGTGGCTTGCTTTGGCCAATAGAAGGAGGCAGAAGTCATGTTGTGCCTTTTCAGAGCCTGGGCCTCAAGAAGCCTTGCATTCTCCCACTCTCTCTATTGGAACATTGCCTCTACCACTGAACACACCTGAGCTAGCTGGCTGGAGGATGAGAGACCACATGACCCAGAGCCAAGTGGGCCCAGCTGTCCCAGCCAAAGCCCCAGGCATGTGAAAGAGCCCAACCAAGATCTGTCAAGTCCCATACCCAAATCCAGAGCTGACCACCAATGCATGAGGGAGCCCAGCTGAGTCTAGCCCAAATAGCCAGCTGATAAAAAGCATAAACAAAATAGATGGTTGTCACTTTAAGCCACTACGGTTTGGCATAGTTTGTTTTATAGCAATAGTGAACTGTTAAAGAACTTAACAGGATACTGCAATCAAGGCTGACGCGACCAGGGTATTGAGCAGACACAAGTCTGAAGTCCCCTGTATTTGCTTATGAGCTTGTGCGAGGTACCTCTAGGAATTTGTCCCCACTGCCAGCCCTGTGCCCCCGCCCTTGCCCCCACCACCAAAGCAGCAGAAGAGGTATTTTCAAATGGCTCAAGTCTGAGTGAGTTGGTGACATTTAGATTTATGGCTGTTAATGTGACTCCATTTGTTCTCATAAACTTGAGAGACCTAGGGAAATTTGAGTAACAAAGATTTTGTCACTGAACTCTACAAGTTTATCTTTCATGGGGCAGGACTATCTTAATTAAAGAGTTCATTTTATCCACCACTAAGCAATTTCCATAGCATTTAAAATATTTATATGACACAGTGTCTGGATCCATCCTTGCAGATGGGAGAGTGGATTGAAGCTCTCGCTCAGCTGATATCTAAGTAGGCTCATGTCCACATGTCTTGGGCCCCAGACAGGAGACCTATCTTACTAGGCTTTCCCTCCTCAGTTAAAACACAAACAGGTGCTGGTAAGAGGAAAAAAAAGAAAAGAAAAGAAAAGAAAAGGACCTAAAGTACATAACCTAAACTTACTCATTTCCACCTTTTGTCTCTTTTCACAAAAAGTATTTGATAGACAGCCTCAAGGCTAAACTCTCTCTTGGCCACCTTCCTGCTAAACAAAGTGCTTATAAACAATTTGGTAACTGAACCATGTTTCAGATTACGTGGGATATGTCATAAAATTTTCCTAGGAATCCATTCCGGTTTTTTTAACCCCAGGGTTACATTCCACCAAAGCTCCCCTTCCATTTTTGGAAGGAAATACCAATTACTTGGTGGGAAAAATGTTACCCTATCAATACAAATTGAATACACGTTCAAAATTATAGATATTGATTATATATATGTATATATATGTATATATATGTGTGTGTGTGTGTATATATATATATATATTACCATGGTGAAACTACACAGTCTGTGTTTGGCATAGGAAAGGCCAATCTACCACCACACCCACCATGCACACACACATGCACACACACAACTCTGTTGTTCAGAGCTTTCCAATGAGCCAGAAAGAGACTTCTTGCTAACATTTAAGGAAGACTTTGTCCTGGATAGATGATAATTGGGACCAAGAATTTTCTCATGAATTCAGAAACTTAATGAAAAAAAATTATCTATAAACAATTACTCCAAGAAAAGTTACAGGCCAGGTGCAGTGGCTCGCACCTGTCATCCCAGCACCTTGGGAGGCCAAAGCACGCAGATCATTTGAGTCCAGAAGTTTGAGACCAGCCTGGGCAACATGGCAAAAACCCATCTCTGCAAAAAAAATTAAAAAATTATCTGGGCATGGTGGCACGTGCCTGTACTACTTGGGAGGCTGAGGTGGGAGGATCACTTGAGCCCAGGTGGTCAAGGCTGCAGTGAGCCAGATGATGCCACTGCACTCCAGCCTGGGCAACAGAGTGACAGCCTGTCCAAAAAAAAAAAAAAAGAAAAAAAAAATCAAGCAAGCACAAAAGAAAGAAAGAAAGAAGACAACGAAAAGAAAAAAAAGAGAAATTACAAGTGCACCAGAAAAGAATTACAAGACAAGGGAAAGAAGAGAAATATAAGCTACCAGGACTCAGGAAAAGAAGTGAAAGAGAAGAATAAAACTATCACAGAAACAAAAGACCGAATGGAGGAGCAAAACGCTATGAAAATTCAGCTAGAAGCCTGGAAGGTACATTTCAGAAAAATGAATGCAGTAACATGGAGAATAACAGTGAATTTTAAGACGAGAAGAAATAATAGATATAGAACAAATGCAGAAGAAAGTCAACATATGTATAATTGGCATTCAAATATATACACTAAAAAAAACTTTCCTAAACTGAAAATGTGAATTTATAGATTGAAAGACCATACTATGTTCTGGGAAAATGGATATAGTTTTTTCTAAACTATGCCCAATGTATGTTTACAGCCAAATGTATGTTCCTTGAGATATGAGGATGGGGGTTTTTGTCCTTTTTTGTTTATTGCTGTGTTCCCAGTGCTTAAAATAATGCCCCCAATGAACATTCAGTAAATGAATTGCTAAAGTAACAGATTAACCAATACCAACATATCCTATTAATAGTGCCATGCTTCAAAGATAAAGAGTTTCTGGTTATTCAGTAGAAAGATCAGATCATCCATTAAAAAATAACAGCATGTCTTTGCTATTGTGAATAGTCCTACAAGGGCCAAGTGTGGTAGCTCACACCTGTAATCTCAGAACTCTGGGAGGCCAAGACTGGAGGATCACTTGAGCCCAGGAGTTCGAAACCAGCCTGAGCAACACAGTGAGACCCTGAATCTACAAAAAAAATGTAGAAGTTTTAGAAAATAATGCTGTGATGGACATGTACACCATGGAATACTATGCAGCCATAAAAAAGAACAAGATCATGTCCTTTGCAGCAACATGGATGGAGCTGTAGGCCATTATCCTAAGTGAACTAACATAGTAACAGAAAATCATATACTGCATGTTCTCACTTAAGTGGGAGCTAAACATTGAGTACTGGGGCCTACCTGAGGGTGGAGGGTGGGAGGGAGGTGAGGATCGTAAAAACTTCCTATCAGATACAATGCTTATTATCTGGGTAATGAAATAATCTGTATACCAAACCCCTGTGACACACAATTTACCCATATAACAAACCTACACATCTACCCGTGAACTTAAAGCTAAAAAAATCAGATTGACTACAAACATCAGCACAGCAAGATTCAAAGCTAGAATACAATGAAACAATCTTGTGCCACATATGCTACTATGGTGTCCTCAGAGAAAGAAAACATGATTCAGGAACTTCATATCAACCCAAACTGTAGTCCAAATAAAGAACATGCATATATTTTCAAAACTACAAAAATTCAGCTACCTTGAAGAAAATACAGAAAGACCAAGTTTAGTAAACAAATGAGAAACAGAAGCAAAAACACCAATAATGAGCACTGAATACATTTATGTTTCGGGATTACAATTAAAACAACTATTGGAATTATGGTTGCGAAACAAAACAAATGCTATAAACCATTATAAAGCAGAAACTGTAAAACCCAATGAAGGTAAGAATGCGTTAAGTATCTTGATTTTCTCATTTTTTTGTAGTTGAAGGCCAAGAAAAGATACGTTTAAAGTCTGTAGCCCAGCTATTAGGGATACAAATAAGTGTGAAGTTATACAAGAACCCTCTAGAGAGAGGCTGTTGGCCAGAGGTAGCATCTGCTTCTTTGGTGGTCTTGGAGCTTGAGAGTGTTGATGTCATTTGGTGTGTGGGGACCAAAGATAATGAGCAAACTGTAAAATGCTTGACTGTCTTGGACAAAGACGATTTTTCTCATACAAACACTCACAGTGTCCCTACGGAACAGTAAAGCAGTAGAACTAATAATAGCAATAACCAGCCCAAATTGAATGGAGGAGAGAAGAGAGAGGATTTGGGAGAAAGTGGTTTTGTCATTACTCTTGGTGAAGAGTCAATTGATTATATCCGAAGAAATGTAGGATTGAATAAATTATATACAAATATGAGTGTTCTTTTGTACTATTTGACTTCCTTTTGTTCCATGTGCATATATTAACTAGTCAAAAAAAAATAGTTAAGCCAAGGCAAGAGGATTGCTTAAGGCCAGGACTTTGAGATCAGCCTGGGCAACATAGAGAGACCCCATCTCTACAAAAAATTAAAAAATAAAAAATTAGACAAACATGGTGGCTTGCCCCTGTCATCCCAGCTACTCAGGAGGCTGAGGTGGGAGGCTCACTTGAGCCTGAAATGTGGAGGCTTCAGTAAGCTGGAATTGCACCACTGCACTCCAGCCTGGGTGACAGAGTGAGATCCCAGCTTGAAAAAAACGGTTAAAAAGTAAAGATACTAGGGTCAGGGAAGAGGGTCGGGGGAAGGCAGGTAGGGAGAGGTGAGCTGGGGAAGCAAGTCATTTAGATACTGGAGGGGATGGATCCTGAGAGTATCCAGCATGCTGCCCTCTCTCTAGGGTTATATCTAGAAGGATGGGAGTGGACAATAAGACCGTCAGATTTCATACGAGTTTGGGATCTGAAGGTAGAGACCTGCCCCACTTCCCATCAGTCATCTGGAGTAACATGGTACCCATGGCATAGGGCTGCCCAGGCATCTTTGGTGGCAGAGGGACCTAAGTAGACCCAGAGAGCTTCTAGGGGATGTAGGATGTTATAGGAGAGCAGCTAACATTTCCCATAACCCTGAGAAGGGCATGGAAGTCAGATGGGAGAAAGCTGGGGAACTGAGGGCATCTCATGGTTGGAACAAGGGGACCCATGAGTCTTGCCAGAGACCACATGGAAGCTCAAACATCTTGGGAGTAGCCAGGGAGGAAGGATGCTGTGCCCAGAACCATGACGACATCCATGTTCCATCAGCCCACCACCACCGAAACAGAGATGAGACCCTGGCGAGAAGGTGGGAATGGGACTGCAGAAAGGAACATTTCAGAAGTAAGTAAATTTTAACCTAAAATGACCACATTTCTCAGAAATTGACCAGCATGATTTTTGCTGCCAGCCAAATGGAGGTTCAAAGTAGAGATTAAATTTCATATATATATATATATATATATATATATATATTTTTTTTTTTTTTTTTTTTTTTTTTTTTTTTTTTTGTTGAGACAGAGTCTCACTCTGTTGCCCAGGCTGGAGTGCAGTGGCACGATGTCGGCTCACTGCAACCTCCGCCTCCTGGGTTTAAGCTATTCTCCCGCCTTGGCCTCCCGAGTAGCTGGGATTACAGGTGCCCGCCACCACGCCTGCCTAATTTTTGCATTTTTAGTAGAGACGGGGTTTCACCATGTTGGCCAGGATGGTCTCGATCTCCTGACCTTGTGATTCACCCACCTCGGCCTCCCAAAGTGCTGGGATTACAGGTGTGAGCCACTGCGCCCTGCCTAAATTATATTTTTTTAAAAAGTTTCAGGTGCTCTGTGTGGAGGTTAAAGGTAGAGACCAGGGATGTAATACAGTCACTACACAGAAGCCCCTAGGAAGACAGGACTCAGTGTAGAAGAGAACTCCCTCATAAAAGGAGTGACATCTGGGTCAGGTCTTAAGGGTGAGATGGGGAAGGACATTCTAGGCAGAGGCAGCAGCAAGTTCAAAGCCATGAGGAGCCTGGCTCGACCAGAGAACAGCGTGTGGTCCAGCGTGGGTGGAACAGAAGGTGGGAGGTGAGAGGTGTTTCATGTTCCACTTATGCAGCCAAGAAACAATATTCAAGACAAGTCAAATTCCCTGATTCCTGTCGTGTTTCAGGGACACAGCTCACCTTCCCCTATGTGTGTACTTGGTCCAAACCACAGGGCCAGACGGGGAGCCAACGCCACCTCTCACGGCGATGCAGAGCCAGCTGAGAGGAGCCAGCTGGGAGAAGTTTCTTGGAGGACAGACATGCTTCCTGGGCCAAGAAATATCAGGAAGAAGCCAAGGAGGGGAGGGCTGGACAGCACAGCCAGCAAGACTGGTCCATTGACCCATTCCAGCCTGTCATGAGATGCCTGAGACGCTGACCCTCCGCCCAGAGCTGGCCAAATCTCTGCAGATGCAAAGCCAACTCCCAGGGCTTTACCACTTTGAGACTTTGACCGCCCATCCTTCCTGCCCCTGGCCCAGCCCACCCTCCTCCGTGCACAGAGATGAACGTTCAGCATGTTCTCTCCCACACTTGACCTAATCGCTTTGCTATGGAGACTTCCCCGACCCAGCAAGCAGCCCCACGCCTTCCTGCTGTGCTCTGATTGAGAACAGGCCCAAGCTATCCAGGCCTTCCAACAACCTTAACCTCTTCCTCCCCAGACCCAGGCAATCAGGAATGGTGGGGAGGAGAGACTTGAAGCATCTAAGTGACTCAACAGAGAATGTAATTATGATATCCAGTCAATTGGCTCTTGTTCTGAAGGAATGATGACACCGTACCCAGGCAAGCAGGGAGGAGATGGGCATAAGATGAGATGGGAGAGGCCATGTCATGCCTTGTATTGCAGGCCACGATGAGGAGCTGGGGGTTTCAGTCATATTGCAATAGGATGCCCTTGAATCATGGGTTTATTATAGGAGTTAGACCTTATGTCCTTGTGGGAAAAGCTGGTGAGGTAACACCTGTAAGGATCACTGGAAGATCAGAAAGATGTCACAGTGGAAACGATGAAAAAAATCTACGGAAGGCTGTTCTTTGTGTGTAGTGGTAAACCTGGGTCAGCCAGGGCAGGCTACAAAGAAAAGCTTGACACGAAGTGGGAAAAAGCAAACATGAATGGAGACCCAGGAAGCCACAGCAAAACCCATGAGGACAAATTGGAACCTGTCTGTCTTTCATACATCTGGAGTGACCTACAGAAGACGTCTGTGGGCTGGGTGCGGGTGGCTGACGCCTGTAATCTCAGCACTTTGGGAGAGTGAGGCAGGAGGACTGCTTGAGCCCAAATGTTCAAGACCAGCCTGGTTAACATGGAGAAACCCAATCCCTACAAAAAAATACAAAAATTAGCCGGGCATGGTGGTGTGTGCGTGTAGTCCCAGCTACTCAGGAGGCTGAGAAGTGAGAAGATTGTTTGAGCCCAAGAGGTCGAGGCTGCAGTGAGCTATGATTGTACCACTGCACTCCAGCCTGGGCAATAGAGTCCCTGTATCCAAAAAATTTAAAAATTTAAAAAACCCTCAGAGCTGCAAATGTAGGAGGTCCAATGTGAGGAGCAGGAGCTGTCGGTCTGACTGGCCTCAGGCAGATGAGGCCATGGGGATGGGGACAGATGCAGCTGTGGTGGCATCTAGAGCCTGCACCCATCTTCCAAATGTAACAGCTGCTGCTGCTGTCTGTCTCTTTCCAAATCTTGCACAAGTTACTCCTGTGGCCAGCCCTGACCTGGACACACAAAGGGGAGGGAATTCTGGGAGATATGACTCCAGCTTAGCTTGGTTGACACAGTACAAGCTACTGCAGAGTCCAAAACAGAGATGGAGTATAGAATAAATTGAGAGCTTTCTGTAATTCTGGTTTTGTTTAGTGTTACGAACGCGCTTGTATAAACTTAGGATTGTTTCTGAATGTGGTTTTGAGAAGTTGTATTTGTAGGAGTGATGGCATAGGATTTCTTTGTTCCCAATTTTTTTTTTTTTTGCATTTTTCCCTTTACTTGATAAGTGCATTTGCCTTCTGTTTTTCTTTTTGAGATCTACACACTTAAACCCTTTAATGGCTGTACCATTAGAAGTGCTTGATCTTAAAAAAATTGCAAGGGGATGCCATTGAAACCCTTTAAACTAGGAAAAGATGCAATCAAATTTACAATAAAAATATCACAGTGGCTGCCGTTTATACAATGGAGTGGCAAGGTGCAAAATTAAAACATGTAAACTGGTTAAGAGATTACTATGGAAGTTAAGAAACGAAACTGTGGTCATTTGGACTACAGGGGTGGATCAGTCAGCTATTGCCACAGTATTGCTGTGTAACTAACAAGCCCCTTAAAATAATGATAATTGGTAGGGAGCAGGTGGGATAGCTCTATTTCCTGCTGCAGCTCTGCCCTGTATGTCTGTCATTCTCCAGGCCCCAGAGGCTAGCCAGAGCATGTTCTCTTGATGATGTCTGAAGTGCAAGACAGCAAGCCCTGCCACACAAGCACATTTCAAGTCTTTGTGACAGCTCATTGGCTGAAGTCAGCCAACACGGCCAAGCCCAAGGTCAAGGCATATGGAAGAACATACCACCTTTAGTGGGAGGGGCTGCAAAGGCACATGGCAAAGGATATGGACTCAGGGTGAGTGAAGAACTGAGAAAAGTGATGCGATCTACTATCAGGGGTAACAGTGGATGTGGAGAGACAAGGGTAGACTCAGGAGGTGGTTGCAAGAAAAACCCACAACATGTGGTGATAGATTGAGTATGGAAAATGACAGAGAAGAAGGAATCACTCTGACAGCCAGGCTTTGAGAGAGGCTGATGGGGCTGGAGGAGAAGCATCTTTGGTGGAGAGGGACGGCAATGTTTCCAGTTTGAGAGGCATCCCGTGGTGGCTTCAGGTGAGTAGAGGGTCCTAAGTTCTGGAACTTGGAAACAAGGTCCAGGTAAAGGTTTAGAATAGTCATTGGCTTGTCAAAGCCTACCAAGTGCTTTGTGAAGTATTTGCTTGTGGCAATAACTTGTGACACCACAGGAGATCTGTCCTCCTTTCCCCAGCCCCACACCCTGCCACGGACCTCTGAAGACACCAGACCCCACGTGATTAAGTTCAAGGGGCATCATGCTGCCATGTGAGAAGACGATTCTCACTCAGGATCAGAGAGGCTGAAAGGAGATATCTGCATTTGGGTGGAGAGAGGGTTTTTGCTATTTCGTTTTGAGAAAATTATTTTTAGAAGCTTCAGAGTGATGGGCAACTTCTTCTTATCTCCACTCTTAGAAGGAGACATCTGTGAAATTCAGTGGTAATTGTGTGTGTCATAGTTCCTTCAAATGCAGACACTGAGACATAGACTCGAATGCAAGCTGCAGAGCTGGAAGGTGCACGGTGGGGAAGTGAAGGACCCCCACATGGGGTGTGTGGAGCAGGTTACCATCGTGGGACACTGGGAGGGCGCAGTCCCACCGGGAACTCTGGGAAAGTGTAGAGCATGGTTCTGCTACCCCACTTGAGGGAATAAAGAGCTGACACTGATCCCTTCAATCATGAGTTGAGGGCTGCCCTGCGGGCATTATCCCCTGGCACTTCCTGTTTGTTCAAAATGTTCCCATGGGCAGCTTCAGTCAGGTAAGTGCTGACAGGAGGTGGGTGGACACTGCCAGCATCTCCCACAGTGGGGAAAGAGGTCATCCTGTCCATCACACAGAGAGCACGAAAAGGAACCCTCCACCCTGCAACGCGGCCAGAGCCACAGGTGTTGGGAGGAGGGAAAATAGTGATCACTTCCAGAGTTTCTGGGAGCCATGGGTTCTCCCTGGGATGCCCTGATGTAGAGGCACCTTAAGAGAGCATTCCAGGGATGCACGTGGATTGTTCCCCTAGGGTGGGATTGACAGGGGGGTAGAATGTGACTTCAGTTCTGGGGGAAGTGCCCCACTCAAGAATGCAGGTTCTTTGGCTATCCCAGATGAGAGAGGCAGCCTAAGTGGCCCTGAGGTGAGAGAAAAGGCCACTTGGACATCAGTAGCCACACAATTACTGATGTGTGTGTTCCTGCCTCTCCCACTTCTGGGGTACACCTGCCTTCCGTTGAGCAAACTCCCATGATGCCCAAGCCTTAAGCAGAGGAAAAGCAAGACGTACAGATACTTGAGGCCAAAATCTGTCAGTGTTGGAAACTGTTCTCTGCAGCTGCAGGGGAATGCAAGTGGGCCAGGGGGATAGAGAACAGGAATCTGAATGCACAGTCAGACAGGGCCGTGGAACACCCCCAACCCCTAGGCACCATACTGTGGCCCCATGCTCTATGGGGCTGGTGAGCCTGGAGTGAGGGAGGAAATTAGTGGGTGGGGTGTGGCAGTGGAACTGTACCAAACAGATCCTGAGTAGGACTGGAAGCCCCCTACCAAAATGCCTGTGCTGGGGAAGACCAAAGGAAAATTCTAATGAGTTCTCAACATCAAGAGAAGAGCAATCATAAAACAAATGTTTCATTTTTGAAACATTCAATTTGTGCTTCTGCTACCTCAGATGAGAATACGAACCATGGCCATGGGGAGAGTGGGCAGCCTGAAGAGAAAAAAGACCCGAGGTAGGGTCTGCTAGTTGGGGTGGGAGCTTCCCTTTAAAACCTTTTGTAATTTCCCCATCTGTAAGATTACGTCCTGAAGGTTCATCACGGCTGATGTCTTAATGTGGCTTCACCCAACAGCAGCCCCTGCGTATTATCTATTGCTACAGAACAAATTACTGCAAAAGTTTGCAGCTTAAAACAATAACAAACACTCATTATTTCTTACAGTTATTGTGGGTTATGGATTTGGGAGCAGCTCAGCTGAGTGGTTCAGGCTCAGGGGCTCTCACTGGGTTGCTATCAGGATGTCAGCTGGAGCTGCAATCATCTGAAGGCTTGACTGGGGCTGGTGAATCCACTTCTAAGATGGCTCAGGCAGATGGATATTGTCAGAGGGCCTTGGTTCTGTCCCTTGATAGGCATGCTTGCATGCATCCATGGCATGATTCAAAAGAACAAGGTGGAGATTTGTAAAGTCTTTTATGACCTAGCCTTGGAAGACACACATCACAGCTACTGTAGTCTATTCCTTAGAAGCAGTCACTAAATCTGCCCGTACTCAAGAGGAGGGAAATTAGCTCCATCTATTGAAGGGAGGAGTGTCAAAGAATTTGTGAATATATTTTCAAATCACCACACCTTGAGACAAGAATTTGGGTGCACATGGTTCCCCCTGTAGGCAACTGCAGCTCAATCCTGTAGGTCCTCTGCGATACTGTGTGGAACATTCCTCTGAATCATCCTATCGGAGGGTAGAAGGCTGGGGCATTTTCCCACTAAGTCCCGCCTTGCATTGTTAAGATTAAGATCCTGCCTCCCTCACTTCCAGGATATACCTGCTGTCAGCTGAGGAAACTCCCATGATACCCAAACCTTAAGCAGAGGAAAAGCAAGATGTACAGATGCTTGAAGCAGGAAGCTGTCAGTGTGCTGGAAACTGTCCTCCTTTGCAGCTGCAGGGGAATGCAGGTGGGCCAGGGGTGTAGAGAACGGGGAGAGAACATCATCTGCTGAGGCCTACAGGGCAGCCCATTAGCCAGCCCTTGCTAGAGGCTCCATTTTCATTACTTACTTCTCTCTGTTCACATTGTATGCACCAACAAGGCTGAAGTGCTTGTTGCTCCCTGCACCTGCTCTGCTGTTTTATGCTTCCTTGACTTTGCTCAGTCAGCTGCCAGACCCCAGCATGAACAAAAAATTAGAAGAGCTCCTAGAAAGAGTTGAGAATAGCACCAAAAAAAAATTTCTGGAACTAAAAAATTTAGTTTTATCATGAATATTTACATACACACAGTAAAACATATAATAGATCTCCATATGCCATCAGCCGGATTTAACAGCCATAAAGATTTTGCCACACATGTTTCATCAACTTCTTGTCTTCTGTCAGTAATTTTTCCCATTAACCTTTAAAACTGTGATAAAATGCACATAATTTTTCCATCTTAACCATTTTTAAGTTTATAGTTCAGTGGTATGAAATACATTCATAATATTGTCATCACTATCCATCTCTAGAACTCTTTCATATTGTAAAACTGAAACTCTGTCCCCATTAAACAATAACTCTTGGCGGGGCGCGGTGGCTCACGCTTGTAATCTCAGCACTTTGGGACGTTGAAGTGGGTGGATCACAAGGTCAGGAGTTCCAGACCAGCCTGGCCAACACAGTGAAACCCCGTCTCTACTAAAAATACAAAATTAGCTGGGCATGCTGGCGGGCACCCGTAATCCCAGCTACTTGGGAGGCTGAGGCAGGAGAATCACTTGAACCTGGGAGGCAGAGGTTGCAGTGAGCCGAGATCGCACCACTGCACTCCAGCCTGGGAGACAGAGCTAGACTCCGTCTCGAAAAACAAAACAAAACAAAACAAACAAACAAACAAACAACTCTCCATCTCCCCCCTGCTCCCATCCCCCAGCAACAGCCATTCTACTTTCTATGATTTTGATTACTCTAAGTACCTCATATAATTGGAATTATATAATATTTGTCTTTTTGCGACTGGCTTATTTCACTTAGCATAATGTCCTCAAGGTACAACACAGATAAATGTGTCAGAATTTCCTCTCTTTGTAAGGTTGAGTGGTGTTCCATTGTATATTTATACAACAATTTGCTTATCCATTCATCCATAGGTTGAATGGATTTGCTTATTCATTCAACCCATGAACACTTGGGTTGCTTCCATTTTTTTAACTTGTGAATAATGCTGTTGTAAACATCAGTGCCCAGATATCTTTGGGACCCTGCTTTCAGTTCTTTTGGGTATGTACCCAGAAATGGGATTGCTGAATCATATAGTAATTTTTTTTTGAGACAGCCTCACTCTGTTGCCCAGGCTGGAGTGCAATGGCACGATCTCAGCTCACTGCAACCTCCACCTCCCGGGTTTAAGCGATGCTCCTGCCTCAGCCTCCTGAGTAGTTGGGATTACAGGTGCATGCCACTCGCCCGGCTAATTTTTGTATTTTTAGTAGAGACAGGGTTTCACCATGTTGGCCAGGCTGGTCTCGAACTCCTGACCTTGTGATTCACCTGCCTCAGCCTCCCAAATCATATGGTAATTCTATTACTATTTTTTTGAGGAACCACCATACTGTTTTTCATAGTGATATACCATTTTACATTCTCACCAACCGAGCACAGGGATTCCAATGTCTCCGCATCCTCACCAACACTTATTATTAATATTTTCCATTTTTTTTGATAGTAGCCATCCTAATGGGCATAAAATGATACCTCATTATTGTTTTGATTTGTAGTTCCCCAATGATTACTGAGGTTGGACATCTTTTCATTGCTTATTGGTCAATTGTATATTGTATTGTATTCTTTGAAGAAATGTCTATTCAAGTCCTTTGCTCATTTTTGAATTGCATTGTTTGTTTTTGTTGTTGTTATTAGGGGTTTTCTAAATGTTCTGGATAGTAATCCCTTATCAGATATATGATTTGCAAATATTTTCTCCCATTCTGTGGGTTGGCTGTTTACTCTGATATTATCTTTTGATGCACAATTTAAAAAATGTGTATATAGTCCAATTTTGTCATGAAGATTTTGCCCTATGCTTTCTTTTACGAGTTTTATAGTTTCAGATCTTACATGTAGGTCTTTGGTCCCTAATGAGTTAATTTTTGTATATGGTGTTTGGTAAGGGTTCAACTTATTCTTTTCTCTATGGATATCTAGTTTTTCGGCATCATTTGATGAAAAGACGGTCTTTTCTCCTAATAAATGGTCAAAATAAAAACCATTTAACTGGCCGGGCGTGGTGGTTCATGCCTGTAATCCCAGCACTTTGGGAGGCTGAGGCAGGTGGATCACCTTGAGGTCAGGAATTTGAGACCAATCTGGCCAACATGGTGAAACCCCATCTCTACTAAAAATACAAAAATTAGCTGGGCATGGTGGTGAGTGCCTGTAATCCCAGCTACTCGGGAGGCTGAGGCAGGAGAATAGCTTGAACCTGGGAGGCAGAGGTTGCAGTGAGCCAAGATCATGCCACTGCACTCCAGCCTGGTGACAGAGCAAAACTCCATCTCGGGGGGAAAAAAAACAACCATTTGACCATATGTGTGAGGGTTTATTTCTGGGTTCTCTATTCTATAACATTGGTCTATCTATCTGTCTCTATGATAGCACCACACTGTTTTGATTACTGTAGCTTTGTTCAACTATGTATTTTAAAGCAAATTTCGGACACCATGTCATATCACCCCTACATATTTCAAAGCACATCTCTTAAAAATATGCATGTGCTCTCATCTAACCACAATTTGACACATGCTTTATCTCTCCACCTTTTTTTTTTTTACTTCGTGAAAGTATTTTAAATATAATTCTTTTTCTTTTTCTTTTTTTTTTTGAGACGGAGTCAGCCTCTTTTGCCCAGGCTAGAGTGCAGCGGCACGATCTCGGCTCAAATGCAACCTCCGCCTTCCAGGTTCAAGCAATTATTCTGCTTCAGCCTCCCAAGTAGCTGGGATTACCATGCCTGGTTAATTTTTGTATTTTCAGTAGAGACGGGGTTTTGCCATGTTGACCAGGCTAGCCTTGAACTCCTGACCTCAAGTGATCTGCCTGCCTTGGCCTCTCAAAGTGCTAAGATTACAGGCATGAGCCACTGTGCCCAGCCTTTTAAAGAGAATTCTTTAAGCACAATTATCAAAATGTAATTTTTTATGGCACAGGATCCCTGCATACAAATGTAACTTTTAAATTAACATATTTGGTTGATGAATTAAATGAAAGGATGGCCAACACAGGAAGCTAACAGATAGTGGAATAACAAGTACTGATTTTAAAAAATAAATAAATAATAAAACAGCAAACTAAGAATCTTTTCTACTAGACTAAGATATCACTGACATGTCAGAGTAAAAAAAGTTATGGACACGAGAAACATCAGAATGTACTGTACCTTAGAATGAAATCTCACAGAAAAGAACTCTGTCTAAAAACAAACGACTCAGGCTGGACACGGTGGCTCAGGCCTATAATCACAGCACTTTGGGATGCAAAGGCGGGTGGATTGCCTGAGACCAGGACTTCAAGACCAGCCTGGGGAGCATGGCAGAACCTCATCTCTACACAACATATTAATACAAAAATTAGCTGGGTGTGGTAGTATATGCCTGTAGTCCCAGCCATTTGGGAGGCTAAGGTAGGAGGATCCCTTGAACCTGGGAGGTCAAGGCTGCAGTGAGCTGTGATCATGCCACTACACTCCAGCCTGGGTGACAGAGCAAGGCCTGTCTCAAGAAAAGGAAGGAGGGAACGAAGGAAGGAAGGAAGGAAGGAAGGAAGGAAGGAAGGAAGGAAGGGGAGGGGAGGGGAGGGGAGGGGAGGGGAGGGGGGAGGGGAGGGGGGGAGGGGGAAAAAAAACCAAATGACTCAAAACAGAGATATCAAGTTGAGACAGAGTAAAGAAAAGAGGAAACAGTGGTGAGCAATAGACCTTTCAAAACACATAGTGAAATCTAACAGGCTAATACACTGTATAAAATTGTGTAGTATAAGCACACAGTAAGAATTTATAGCTAGAAGAAAGAATACAAGAGAAATTCAAATAATCAGCTGAAATGAAGAGTATTAACTTATCTCTGCAAAATTTAGGAGTTATGCCACACGTGATGGCTCACGCCTGTAATCCTAGCACTTTGGGAGGTCGAGGCAGGCGGATTGCTTGAGCCCAAGAGTTTGAGACCAGCCTGGGCAATATGGTGAAACCCCATCTTTACAAAAGATACAAAAATTAGCCGGATGTGGTGGTGCATGCCTGCAGTCCCAGTAACAGGGAAGCTGAAGCGGGAGGATCACCCGAGCCTGGGAGGTTGAGGACTATTTGCCGAGATTCCAATATGGATTTGCCTTATTGTAACAGAGACAGATAGATCAGTGGAAGAACCAATCATAAATATAAATTCCAGAAGCATAAAACACTTAAATGTAAAATATTAAATGATAAAAATCAAGAATGAAGTATCGGACCACACATACAACCTAGGGATGGAGAAATTATCTAAAAGAAAACAGGAAACCCACTTGCTCTGCAGATCCAGATAGTTAACTAAGCATTTATAAAAGCTTTTTATGTATTATGGATATTCAAATCTTTATCTGTATTGCAAATATTTTTTCCCAAATTTATTTGTGTGTAGACTTTAATTATCTCTTGCCAAGAAATAGCAATAGGCAAATAAATTTGGGAAAGAAATATTTGCAATACAGATTAAGAGTTAAATACCCATAATACACAAAAAATAACTCTCACAAAACAAAAGATAACCTAAAAGACAAATGGCAGATGACCTGTGCAGCAAATCACCATGGCACATGTTTACCTGTGTAACAAATCTGCACATCATGCACATGTACCCCGAACTTAAAATAAAAGTTGAAGAAAAAAAAGAAAAAGAAAAATGATAAAGAATATGAATAGAAAATCCATAGAAGGGCAAATCGAAATGGCTGAGAAATAGAAAAGAACTACTTGAACACATTCGCGATCAAGGAAACACAACTTCAAGGAAATACCACTTAAGGTACCATGAAATGTATTTATTAGACTGACAAAATTTAAAACGTAACAGCATTATTGACAGAGATGAAGGAGTGCGGAATCGGGTAAGGTACTTTCATACTTTCTGGTGGAAATGTAAATTATTATAGTTTTTTGGAAGGCAATCTGGTAACGACATCCCTTAAAATTTAAAATACCCGGCCTGGCGTGGTGGCTCACCCCTATAATCCCAGCACTTTGGGAGGCCGAGGCGGGCAGATCACCTGAGGTCAGGAGTTCAAGACCAGCCTGGCCAACATGGTGAAACCCTGTCTCTATTAAATACACAAAAATCAGCTGGGCGCGGTGGTGTGTGCCTGTAATCCCAGCTACTCGGGAGGCTGAGGCAGGAGAATTGCTTGAGTCAGGGAGGCGGAGGTTGCAGTGAGCCAAGATTGCGCCATTGCACTCCAACCTGGGCGACAGAGCAAGATTCCGTCTCAAAAAAAAAAAAAAAAAAAAAAGGAAAATGAAAAATACCCGTACTATTTAGCCCAGCAATACTACTCCTGGGAATGTATTTTATCATTTGTTTAAACCTAGATAAAACAATGTTTGTTATAGCTATATGTGACGGCTAAAAACTAGGAATATGAGTATCTCTCAACTTTGAATAAGCTACGGTGGATCTACAGCAAGGAATACGTGAAATCATCAGGAAAATTAATTAGAGTGGGACCAGCTAAATTGTAGGGATTTCCACAAGATATTGCTCAGTAAACAATGCAAGATGCAGAAAAGTGTGTATGAGAGCAATGACAAAACATGAAGGAATATATGTGTGGTGTATATGTGTGCGTACATGTAGAATAGCTAGCTAGCTAGATGTTGACAGGGTTATGAGCATAGAGAAATGTGTGAATGATACCAAGCCCATTGCTCACATGGAGCAAGGCAGGAGGATGGGCAGAAGGAGAGGGGGATGGCAGAGGAGAAGCAAACAGAAGAGATGAAAAAAAACTGCACTAAAAAGGAGTCCATGTGCATAAGATCTTGGTTATGTTAAATTGTATCTTGATGCATAAAATATGAAATCTGTATCTTCCCATTGGCAGAAATGCCCCCACCATATTGTCAAGTGAAAAAAGCAAGTGGCAGTGTAGTATGCTTCTATTTATAAGTGATACGAATTGGGATTTTGAGGCTCACAGTGCCTCAAAGGGGTTGGAAGGTTGGAGCGGCAATGGAGGAAGAGTCTTCTTGTCGTTCTGCTGGGGGATGTGTCTGGAGACAACACTGGTCCAGTTAAGGCAAGGGCTGCCTTGGTATGTGTGTAGGTTGGGGTAGGTGTGGGGGTGGTCATTGTAGACTTCGGGGTACAGCTCAAAGCAGATGCCTAAATCCCACTATCTGAGTCATTCCTTCAGTCTGAACCTGTGGTTCCAAGTCTGGTTTTATTTTTCCCAAGGATGGAAGGTTCTGGAAGACTTTGTCTACTAAATCATGTCATTTGTTAGGCAAAACCTCTCCCATCCTGGACAAAAGGTGGCAATACATATGAGGTGGCTTCAACACTCTCATATTTATACTGAGATATATTTGGCTGCAAATGTTATTTTAACGTCAAGCACAATCTGAGGAAGTACAAGTTTTCATATTAGTTTTAGAGAAGCACAGAGGGTTTCCTATTTCTTAACTTGTGATACAGATTGAGTATCCTTTATTTAAAATGCGTGGGACCAGAAGTGTTTTGGATTTTGGATTTTTTTTTCAGATTTTGGAATATTTGCATTGTACTTACTGGCTGAGCATCCCTAATCTGAAAATCTGAAATCCCAAATCTGATATGCTTGGTCTCAATGGTCTCTCGTGCTCATGCTTTGAGCATGTCATCAGTGCTCAAAATGTTTCAGACTTCGGAGCATTTCAGGTTTTGAATTTTTGGATTAGGGATACTCAACCTGTATCAGCAAATACAGGCATGTGTTGACTAACAACAGGGATACGTTTTGAGAAATGTGTTGTTAGACGATTTTGTTGAGTGAACATCATAGTGTTCTTACACAAACCTAGATAGTATACCCTATTACACACCTAGGCTACAGACCTACACAGCATGTTACTGTAATGAATACTGCCGGCCAGGGGTCCCCAACCCCTGGGCCGCAGACTGGTACCAGCCCATGGCCTGTTAGGACTGGGCCACATAACAGGAGGTGAGTGGCAGGCGAGGGAGGGAGCATTACTGCCTGAGCTCCGCCCCCTGTCAGATCAGCAGTACATTAGAGCATAGAGTACATAGGAGCATGAACCCTATTGTGAACTGCGTGTGCGAGGGATCTAGGCTGTGGCTCCTTATGAGAATCTGACTAATGTCTGATGATCTGAGGTGGAGCAGTTTCATCCTGAAACCATCCATCCTCCCACCCCGCAAATCCATGGAAAAAATTGTCTTCCACGAAACCGGTCCCTGGTGCCAAAAAGGTTGGGTACCGCTGCTGTAGGCAATTGTAACACAACGGGAAGTATGTGTTTATTTATTTATTTTTTTAGGACAGGGTCTTTCTTTGTCACCCAGGCTGGACTGTAGCGGCGGGATCTTGGCTCAATGCAGCCTCAACCTCCCAGACTCAGGTGATCCTCCCACCTCAGCCTCCCGAATAGCTGGGACCACAGGCATGCACCACCATGCCCAGCTACTTTTTCAATTTTTTGTAGAGATCAGTTGTTTTTTGCTTTTCCTGACTTATCACAGACTTTTGTAAAATATTTTTAAAAATAAACCATGGAATTAAAGATAATGTTGGGCATGGTTGCTCATGTCTGTAATCTCAGCACTTTGGGAGGCTGAAGTGGACAGATCGCTTGGGCTAAGGAGTTCAAGACCAGCCTGGGCAACATGGAGAAACCCTATCTCTACCCAAAAAAAAAAAAAAAAAAAAAAAAAAAAAAAAGTAGCCAGGCATGGTGGCATGTGCCTGTAATCCCAGCTACCAGGGAGACTGAGGTGAGAGGATCACGAGAGCCCAGGTCAAGGCTGCAGTGAGCTGAGATTGCGCCACTGCACTCCAGCCTAGGCAATGGAATAAGAACCTATCTCAAAAAAAAAAAAAAAAAAAAAAAAAAGCAAAAAATAAGCCCAGGTATTTTAGTATTACAGTCAGCACACATAAAATGACTGTCAAATTGCTTAGAAACTTTTATAAAGTTGCTAAGACTCAATTTCTGAACATATATTATGGCAGTCTTTAACAGTCCAAGACCACACTTTGGAACACCAGTGTTATAAAAAGGACATATCAGGATTTTGGTTTGACATTTAATCTGACAATCATTTAACTAATGAGTTTGGTTCATTTATTGTTATTGGTATATTTAGGCCTGTTTCTAGAACTCACATCTATATGTCCTCTTTCCAACACCACAGTGATAGGGCCTCCAATTACACTGTAATATTATGGATATTTCTTTTTTCTTTCCTGTGGTCCTGGCTTATTTCCAGTGACCAGGCTTACCAAATATTTCTTGCTCATCTTCCCTTCAGTTATCTCCTACAGCACTTCCTAGGTTTGTTGAAGTATTTTACCCAAAAATATTAAAATGTGGGCATTCAAGTGGCTAGACATAACATTCTAAGTTCAAAGTTCTTTTCCTTCAGTTCTTAAAAAATGCTGCTGAAAAATCCAAGGCTTATTGGATCAGAGCTCTTGAGGTTTTGATTCTGTTCATTCTCTCTGGAAGCTTTCAGAATGTTGTCTTCGTTCATCTTAAATTTTACTACCCAGTAATGAAAATGAAATGCACTACATTAAAGAGATGTATCAACATAAAAGTATCTCATAACACTGAATAAAGCATGACAACATGTATCTCATTCCTTTTACATCATGTTCAAAACCATGCAAAACTTAATAGATTACTTGGGGGTGCTGTTATGTGGCAAAATTGTGAAGGCAAGGACAGGATAAATTCAAAATTTAGGGTAGCAGCTCTCTTGATGGGGATGAAGATGCAGTAGGAGAAGGGTCCCGAGGGGTGGGGTGTCTGAAGCACTGTTTGTTTGTTTGTTTGTTTTGAGAAGGAGTCTCGATCTGTAGCCCAGGCTGGAGTGCAGTGGCACGATCTCGGCTCACTGCAAGCTCTGCCTCCTGGGTTCACGCCATTCTCCTGCCTCAGCCTCCCGAGTAGCTGGGACTACAGGCGCCCGCCACCACGCCCGGCTAATTTTTTGTATTTTTAGTAGAGATGGTGTTTCACCGTGTTAGCCAGGATGGTCTCGATCTCCTGACCTCGTGATGCACCCGCCTCGGCCTCCCAAAGTGCTCGGATTACAGGCGTTGAGCCACCGCGCCTGGCCTGAAGCACTGTTAATATGCTGTGGTCGGAGCCGGGGGTGGAAACATGGGTACTCCTTACTTTTTAAATACCTTACAAAATCTTTTGCATGTACCTAACTTCAGGTAAAATAATCCCCCTTGTGATGAACTCGCCAGCAGCGGTTCATAGGTCAGGATATTGGGAATGGTGGCAGCTGGCTGCAGGTCTTACAGGAGCGGCTGCAGTGGACAGTCATAGCTCAATGGGCCAGAGAAGAACCACGGGTTGAGATGGGAATGGGGTAGTTCTAGGTTTGCCCTAAACCTGGGGTGTCCAATCTTTTGGCTTCCCTAGGCCACACTGGAATACTGTCTTGGGCCTCACATGAAATACACTAACATCAGCTGATGAGCCAAAAAAAAAAAAAAAATCGGCCAGGCTTGTTAGCTTACGCCTGTAATCCCAGCACTTTGGGAGGCTGAGGCGGGTGAATCACCTGAGGTCAGGAGTTTGAAACCAGCCTGACCAACACGGTGAAACTCCATCTCTACTAAATACAAAAAATTAGCCGGGCATGGTGGTGCATGCCTGTAATCCCACCTACTTGGGAGGCTGAGGCAGGAGAATTGCTTGAACCTGGGAGGCGGAGATTGCAGTGAGACAAGATTGTGCAATTGCACTCCAGCCTGGGCAACAAGAGCAAAACTCCGTCTCAAGAAAAAAAAAAAATCACAAAAAATCTCAATGTTTTAAGAAAGTTTAAGAATTTGTGTTGGGCAGCTTTCAAAGCCATCCTGGGTCGCATGTGGCCTGTGGGCCGTGGGTTGGACAAGCTTGCCCTAAGTGAAAAAACACATCTAATCACCTCTGGACCCATCATTATACCCCACCAGGGAGCCACGCTGAGGACAGAATGGAGCTGCTCTCAGTCCCCCACAGCTCAGCATTTCCTGACCCAGTCTGAATACTCAGCCTGAAAGTGGGCATGGCTGGTGAGACCCTCTCTGGTCACCACTCCCAAAATGTCTTCCACCTCCAGATGTGTTACTGTAATAACAGACTCAGAATTTCACCCCCTAAGTCCAACATGGGTGCACTCTCTAACTTTTTGAGGCCTCTGAGACTTTACTTCCTCCTTCCACATCCTCGCAAGAGTCCTGCCCAATCTCTGGTTCTCTGGGAACGAGGACTGATTGTCCCTTTCCTGTAGCTTTCATTGATCAGTCTGCCAGGCACCTGACAATGATAACGCTCATGAACTTGTTGAATTGAATTTCTTATCCGTTGATTTCCTCCCCTAGGTGACAACTTTTAATTAATTACCATCGGCTTTCTGTACCTGAGGCTTCTGTATCCTTGGATTCAACCGAGGATTGAAAATAAAAAACAATAAAAACAACACAATAAAAATGCAAATATAGAAACAATACAGTGTAACAAGTATTACATAGCCTTTATATTGTATTTGATATTATAAGTCCTCTAGAGATGATTTAAAGAATACAGGAAGATATGCATAGATTATATCCAAATCTATACACTACACCATATCCATGTACACATACACTACACCAAAATCCACAACACCATTTTATGTTTTTGAGACAGTCTTACTCTGTCACCTCGCCTGGGGTCCAGTGGTGCGAACACGGCTCACCGCAGTCTTGAACTCCTGGGCTCAAGCAATCCTCCCACCTCAGCCTCCTAAGTAGCTGGGACCACAGGCGTTCACCACCATGTGTGCCTAATTTTTTTTAGTGAAGGGGCGGGGCGGGGGGGGCGGGTTTCACTATGTTGCCTAGGCTGGTCTCGAACTCCTGGCCTCAAGCAATTCTCCCGCCTTGGCCTCTCAAAGTGCTGAGATTACATGGGTGAGCCGCTGTGCCTGACCCACTATGCCATTTTATATCAGGGACTTGAGTAGTCTCGGATTTTGGTATCCGAGGAGGTCTTGGAACCAATCCCCTACAGATTCTGAGGGATGACTCTTTTCTTAAAGAGTAGCCCAAGAAGGAGGCACGTGAAGAGCAAAACTGTGTCCAGGAGAGCTTTTATTTGTACGGAACAGTTTTAAAAATACAGAATAAAATAGCTTTATCTCTACTATTATTCACAACATCTGGTCCAAATATTACATATTTTTAAAATACTTAAACGTTTAATGAAGCCATGTTAGAAAAACAATATGAAAATTCTTTTTAAAAACTCCATAAAAGAATTACACATCTCAAAAAACAACCCCACCCCAAATACCCTCGGTAATCAAAATAAAAATAAAAAACAAACAAAACCCCAGAAAGGTATATATAGCCAAAGTCAGTCACAAAAACTCAAGGAAAATATAGGCATCCCCACTGTTTTAAGAACAGTCAGAAATGTATTAAGGTGTCAAATGAAGATTGTTACTAACGAACAAAAAAGGAGAGTCATTTGAACTGTCAGTAAGATGGCAACGTGGGGAAGGGTGTCCTAAGTGCCTGGAAACACGCACAGCAATGCTAAGGACATGGGAGGGTAGAGTGATGCTGAAACACAGTCAACACCAACCAGAAAGGACGGGAATGTCTGTGAGGCTGCTGAAAAGAGACCCCCAACGCTAATGTGCCTTATGGGTCCATGGGCAGACGCTGAACGCTGGCAAAACCGGGTGGCCGTTCTTGCACTACTCGGGTTCTGACTGCAGGAGGGGCAGAGGGTGGTCGATGTCCTAGTCCCTGTGTCTAAAAAGTCATGAGGGGACAGAGTACAACAGGCAGCACGTTAAGTCCCTGGGCTCTTTTCCAAAGCCAAGAGGAGGCTCCCTGGAGAAGCGAGCTTTGCGAATGCTCAGGCCCGGAGCCGCACACTAACGCGGCGTGCAGCAGGTGTGGCTGGGTGTGCACAGCTGGCGTCCAGCGACAGCCATGCCGGGCCTATGCCTATAGCGAGTGTACACCCCATGCACGGCCATCCCCCAGGATGCTGCTGCTTCTCTGGCCAGATGGGTTCTGGAATGAGGCTTCTGCTACTGCTCCATATTCACCTTCAATCTGGCCTGGCCACTCCCATGGCATCCGTATTACTGAAGATGAGACTTGCCAACTTTAAGTTGCTAGTACCAATATTTCAGCAGGGATATGAATGAAAGAAATAACAACTTAGCTCATGGTCATAAAATATACGTATGGGTAAATAAAGTATACACACATACTAGAGATTCATCAATGGAGAAATTCTATCATCACATGACATTGTCATGAAAATTATATCATTCCCTCCCTGGAAAACTGTGACTATTATCCTGGGTAGAAATGTTATTTTGCTATATGGAAATACTGCAATATTCATGCATAAACCAAGTTGTCATCATGAAAGTCGGTATTCTACAGCATAAAGCAAAACCTCTGTGCGAATTTGTTACCATGAAAACGGGAAACCATCAGGACCCATGATGCTTCATTCTGGCTGGCATGGTTAAAGCCACTTCTCTTGCCTTGATCAATCCCAAGAAACTAAAAGTTAGCATTTGAAATCCTCTTGAGGATTCTGAAAGTAAATGTATCTGTGAATCTACATTTAACTTCCTAATGAGAATGAAAATTGCTTACAAAGACTAGAGTCACTTCCCATTATTCTGTGAAGCAGGGGTGGGGGCCCTCCATCCCCCACTGTGAATATGGCATCACCTCCTGTCCGTATTCACGCTGTCTACATTTCATGTTGGGATTGCCCACACAAATGCTTTCTTTCAGGGACCAGGCAGGTGACCTGGGAAGGTGGTGGGTAGGTGGTCTCTGTGGAAACTGGAGACTAACCGGCCTGCAAGGACATTCACATCCAAAATATTTTACAACACTCTACAGGCAAAACAAAGTACGGGGTGGTGGTTCAAAGCCCCAGCAACGCAGGCCAATGATGTGAATGGGAAGTGTCATGACACAGACCGCGAGTGGCCACCGTGTCCCCCAATATCTCCCCTTCAGGTGTGTGCTTAAACCCAAGAAGCAGATGAATACATTCTTTTTCTTTCAATTACAAACTTTCATTCTGTAGCATATTTTCCAGTAGGAGAACCACTTCCTAAAATGGTGTGTGTGTGTGTGTGTGTGTGTGTTACATGTTCAAGTTTATTAGTCATTAGGGGACTCCAATCACTCAAGGCTGTGCAGAAAGTACCAGATTCAGCAGGGGCATCTAGTCAGGCTGCCCTCTTTGCTCCCCACCTCCTATTCCCTTACCCCTCCTCGGACAGAATTATTGGGTTGGCCACAGTGGAATCAGAACAGGAAACTCTCACTCCAACAGGAGTTGAAAGGGTAGGGCTTCCTTCCCTGTGTGAAGGCCTACAGAGGGCACCCCACATGTTAGCGGGGTTGAATCCTCCTGATACAACCCGGCCCAAGGAGGGGCTTCAGAAGGGAGTGGGTTTCTGGATGACTAGAGCAGACACCTTGAGTGTTATGCAGCGGAAGACGCCCAGTCAAGCTGAAGAGAAGGTGCCCCTGGATCACCAATGGCTTTCAGGCTTTTATTTGGATATTTGGTCTTTCTGCTCACCTGGAGAGCTAGAAGATTGCAAATCTCTGGGATGTTTAGCAGTTTTCCCCATTTTTCAGAGCAGAGAAACTGGAGATGTTGAGCAAAATCCAAACAGAAGGAACTGAGAGCAACTCATTGCAGGAGGGCTGCCAGCCTCAAGAGTGTCCCAAGGCAAGAGGGATGGAAACCGCGAGCCAGTGTGCTTCTAAAGTATGCATCAAAGACACATTTAAAAAAACATACAAAATTAGATGTAATTTAGCATCTAAGTTCTTTACTTAATCTGCAGTAAGTTTTTGGCAAAACAATGCAGTGGCTCCGAGGTGTTCTTGCCAGAATAAACCTTGAAGCCCCAAACTTCCAAGAGTGAAGGGGGCTACGGTGACATGGCAATGCTGCAAAGACAGCGCCGCAGCACTGGAGAGCTGAGCCAGCCTGGGGCCGAGGGGGACAGGAATGCACCGTGTGGACACCAGGCTGCCAAGAACCATGCCCTGCCGCTGGAGACAGGAGACAGGCACCCACGCAGCTGACCAAAGCTCGACCAGGCCAACGGCCACCGAAGATGTGCCACCTCATGAAGCGAGGGCACTGCTTCCTATCTCAGGCCTTTTCCTTCACTGAAAAACTTCAAACCAAACCAAGAGGAGTCATTTCTCAGGAAGAATTTAGTGTTATTAATTAGAACTCTCTTAAGTGAGAGGGAGCCTGTTGGCTGCTTTTCTTATCACCTTTGGCAACCACCCTCACCTGTAAAATCAAGATCTAACGGACGTGCGACATGGCAACCCACAGGAAGTCTCCTTAAGCCAAGACTTGCAACAGAAGCCCGGCAAGCGGGACAGACCGGCGGACAGACCGTTCCACGTGGCGGCTCTGCGTGTTACCTGCCCCAGCTTCCCTTCTTCACAAAACAAATTCACGTGTAACTTGACCCATGGTTTCTGGGCTCCGGTCCAGTAGTCAGTTTTGATAAATAGATTAGGCATTACAGTATTTACACTTTCATGGTATCAAGCAATACAAAACACAACCACAACAATGGTTACTGGCCTTCAAAAGCCGTTACAACAAGCTTCCCTGATGGTGTCCACAGCTTTACAAATGCTGGTTCTTTTCTTGATGGGGGGAAGAGTGGGTGGGGGACAAGGAATAGGGATGCAAGGAAAGAGGGTCACATGGAAAACACTGATTTCCAAAATCTGCTATAGTCAATAACATTAAATAGGAATAAAACCTTGTAATTATAGACGCGCGCGACAATAACATCCACATGACGGCAGAGCCAAGACGCCCATCAGCTTGTGTGACTGGTGCCTTGGGTGGCACTCTATACTCATCACACCGGCCAACAGTGATAAATGCCAGAGAGGGTGTCTCGGCCACTAGTGAAATGAAAAGAGGCCAGTGTGCACGTGCTGGCCCGGTCAGGGCCAGGGTGGCCAAGAGAAGGTGCAGCCGAGAATCAGATATTGGCTTCAGGGTCCTTTCCTTTTCCCTCCAATGCCCCAAACAGATGTTCATTCAACATCTGTGCAGGCCTCACCCATGGCCAGATCTGGGCACAGGGGAGCCACGCCACTGTTTTCAGGTCAACAGCCTCCTCCTCCGGGAGATCAGCGACAACAGAATCATACTGGGCCAGTCAGTCATGATAGCGCAAGGCATACTAGTGCCCCTTGGTCAGAGGAGGTCTCCGCGGGCACAGACGAGGGTCAAATGACAAGGAAACAGGTCCAGGGGCTTCGGAGAGAGAGAGAAAGCCCCTGGACCCTGGAGGTGGCTTATAGGAAAGCCAGCCCTGGGTGGTGGAAGGGAACTGAAGCAAGGAATGGCTGCAGATTTTAAATGTCCACTCCAAAGGGAGGACTGGAACTTCAAATTTAGTGACCATGGCCAGCAATGGACACTCTCAAAGGGCAAGGAGTTAAGGGCTTAAATAAGGAGATAGGCGAGACACCGCATCAGGCACCATCACCCTCACAGCAGAAAAGTGATTCGCAGTCTGTCTTAGCTCTGGGGCGCAGAATGTAAATGTAGATATACAAACATGTATTTTACTTCTTGTTACTCAGCAAGGAACTACAGATACATGCCTCACTGCGGCCAGGCCACAGGGCACAGCAAAGGCTATCCCGTGGCCTGGGAGTCTTCATCTGAACTCCGGCTGTTGTCGCTCTTCCTGAGGCCTTTCCATGTGTAGCCCACAAAGGTTGGGCTGATGGGTAAGTAGCTGAAGCATCTGTATTTTTTTATAATGTTCATGCCAAATGGCAAATTGTACGACTCCATGCCGTCGAGTGATTTGTTCCCTTTGCCCACACCCTTCTTCCATTTCCGGATTCCTCTTTCCTCTGGAGTGCCTGTCACACATCCCAAGATAGAACAAAGGAATGCTTCGTTTAGCAGCTCTACTGAAAATGAAACTGTCGTCAAACACATACACACACACACACACACACACACACACACACACACACACACACACACACACATGGTCCCACAGATCAAACCTGCCTAGATAACAGCAAAGAATACTTGAGGAGGTGAAGGTGCTCAGCTATCCAGTGCCCAAACCAGAAGTCTAAGAAGCACTAACCCCTCCATGTCCTCATTCAAGCAATCACCTAATGACCTTCTGACCTCCCTATCCTTCTATGTGACCCATATTCTCAATTTTCACTGTTAGGGCCCAGCTCAGGCCATGTTATTGCTTTCCTGGTTCATTCTATCGGTCTCCCATCTGGTTACCTAGTCTTCTGGCTCATCACCTCCTGCCCCAGGTCTGCTCAAAAACTACCTCTCTAGGCCAGGTGTGGTGGCTCACACCTGTAATCCAAGCACTTTGGGAGGCCGAGGTGAGAGGATCACATGAAGTCAGGAGTTCGAGACCAGCCTAGCCAACATGGTGAAATCCCGTCCCCACTCAAAATACAAAAATTAGCTGGGCGTGGTGGTGCATGCCTGTAATCTTAACTACTCAGGAGGCTGAGACAGGAGAATTGCTTGAACCCGAGAGGCAGAGACTGCAGTGAGCTGAGATCATGCCATTGCACTCTAGCCTGGGCAACAGAGCAAGACTCTGTCTTAAAAACAAAACAAAACAAAACAAAACAAACAACAAAACACACAAAACAAACTCTGTAAAATGTAAATCTGAGTCAAAAAAAAACCTCTTTAAAATGCAAATCTGAGTTTGCAAAACAGGGCTGAATCTTTATTGTATCACACAATGCCTTCATCAACCAGTCACTGCACATTCACCCCCCCATCTAGACAGACCCACACTTCATGCTGCTTTGCTCCATTTTAGCGTGTCTGGTGCTATGGGGGACACACAGGTCATGTACCTGTTGTGCTTCTGCGGGGATGAACATCCACCGGTTGGACACTCCTGGCCACTCTGCACCCTGACAGATGGGTCAGGGAGGAAGCTCTGAGCACACAGGGCTCAGCAAGGAAGCTCATGACTTTTTTTTATATCTAAGCTCTGCTCTCTCATCAGTATTTCAGAAATAAAGCTGACTTTAATTTCCATCAGCCTGACTGTTGCATCCCTCTCTCAATTCCCTCTGGCTTAGGAGAGAAAGAGAGTAGTCGTTATGGACTCTTAAATCCAGTGCCTTCCATCTATTTGTGTGTGTGATTCCTTCTGCCTTGGTTTCCCCAGCAATCTCTTGATTGAGGTTTTTTATTTTTTTTGGAGATGGGTTGTTTAAAGGGGAAAATCTCAACAAAACCTTTGAGCCTAAGAATAAGTATCACCCTTCCTTGAAGGCAGGGAAATCTGCCAGTATGTCCATGGCAGCACTTTACAGTGGCCCACAGCAGCCACCGCCAAGGCAGGACCCACATAACATCCTAGTCTGTCATCCCAAGCTCAGCACAGAATGTATCCATAAACAGGGATCATGGGTATTGGAGAGGCAGCTGCCTCCAGGCATCTCTTGTCAATGATCCTGGACCCCTGATCTCAGCCTTTGCCCATGGTCTTCTACTGCCTTCTGGTCTTAGTTGGCTGGAAGCCCACCTTAGGAACAACTCATTTAAGGGACAGTCTCCCCAAGCAGAAGTGCCACGGGCTGTGCCCACCTCTCTCAGATCAGATGAAACCCACACTGCAGGGCCTTTGGCACAGGCTGTGCAGGGGGACAGGAGCCTGGCCTGTGCCCATCCCACTGCCATCTCACCAAACGCAGCGAACTCAGCTGCTGTCTCCCAAAAGTCCTTCAGCACGAGAAACAAAATTAATCAGTTTATGTAGCAAAAAACTGATTCATACATGGAGGCTGGGAGTGCCATCACAACTGTTTTAGAAAACAGTTATAACCAGTGATGGCTTTGAACTCATTTACTCTTCCCGTTTTCCATTTCTATTTGGCAAAAAAAGTAACACATATGTTAAAAAATAAAAAAAAAAAAAGTGTGTTTGATATATACCACGTACCTGGGATGGTGTTATCCAGGATAAAAGCCACACAGCCCCCTACAAACATAGCAGTTGTGAGAAGGACGTTCAACACTTGATCGATTCCTGTTATCCCTAGAAAGAGAACACAGCCATAAACGATCAGTGCCACAGCAGCGGTGAGCCTGCCCTTGACTTGGGAAGGGGCAATGGTGTGGGCAGAACTCCGCCAATCAAAGCAGGAAAGGAAAGTGTACATTTCTTAGTTGTGCACATGTAGATGAATTTTTGCCAGTAATGTTTTAAACTACGATGAATACTTTCAACAATAATCCAAAGGTATCTCCATAAGGAGAATTCCCAACAGTGGTGCATAGAAGATGAATCTAAGAGTGGTGTTCACCCTACAACGAACTGTGAAGCCACAGGGGTGTAGTCGGTGGATAAAAAAAATTCTAAATAAAAAAAAATGGTAGTCATAAGGCTGAGAAAAAATTACAAAGTGAATAATAAGATGACAAAAATATTTCTGGCACCTGCAGTCATAGAAGACTTTTCAGTATCCTGGGTTATCAATTAGTGCTTAGCTGCTTTTAATCAGGGGCAACTGGATTTATAAAGATGTCCTCCCATGAATATGACATATTAAATGTAAAAAACAGCAAGAATCTCATTTATCCACACACTTTCCATCCGGAAGATAGAATAATCCTCAACAGAAAATCATAGGCACTGGTGAGGATGTGGAGAAACAGAAACCCTCGTACATGGCTAATGGGATAGTAAAATGGTGCAGCCGCCATGAAAAAGTTTGGCAGTTCCTCAAAAGGTTAAAAATAGAATTACCACATGACCCAATTATTCCACTCTTAGGTATATACCCAGGAGAAATGAAAACAAGTACTCAAATATGGCCCACATTGATTATTCATGAATTACGTGTTTGTGAAATTGCCCATACACTAAAATGTATTTGTAAACCCAAAATGAATACCCTTGGTGCCTTCATGGGTATACAGAGCAGTGAAAAATCTGAGCCACGCCACATACATTCCTGACTGATGTCAAATAAGCTGACGCTCTGCCTTGTTCTGGCCTCATCCTGTAAACAAGAGTCCTTTTTGCGGACTATGTAGTGCCATGTCTGTCATACCGTGTGCTTTCCGTTGGTGATCTCACTGTTTAAAATGTCCAAGTGGTGTGAAGTGCTCCCTGACGTTTCTACACATAAGGCGGCTATGGTGTGTGTTAAAGAAGATCCATCCAGGCATGAGCTGTGGCATTGCTGACTGTCTTTCCCCAGCAATGGTTCAGTATTTGCTAATACTGCTTGTGGCAACTCTACGAAACATAACTTCATGAATAATGAGAACTGATTGTACTTGCACATCAATATTCACAATAGCCAAAGGGCGGAAACAACCCAAATGTCCATCAATGGATGAATCGATAAACAATTTATGGTATATACACACAAAGGAACATTATCTAGTCATAAAAAAGGAATGAGGCTGGGCACAGTGGCTCACGCCTGTAATCCCAACACTTTGGGAGGCCAATGCAGGTGGATCACTTGAGGTCAGGAGTTCAAGACTAGCCTGGCCAACATGGTGAAACCCCGTCTCTACTAAAAATACAAAAATTGACCGGGTGTGGTGGTGGGTGCCTATTATCCCAGCTACTTGGGAGGCTGAGGCAGGAGAATCGCTTGAACCCAGGAGGCGGAGGTTGCAGTGAGCTGAGATCATGCCCAGGCCTGCACTCCAGCCTGAGCGACAAAGCAAGACTCCATCTCAAAAAAAGGAATGAAGTACTGCTACATGCTACAACATGGATGAATCTTGAAAACATGCTAAGTGAAGGAAGCCAGATACAAAAAGCCACATATTATGACTCTATTTATACCTAGAATAGACCGTGAATCCATAGAAACAGAAAGCACACCGGTGGCTGCCAGCGGGTGGGAGCAGGCGGTGATGGGGATTTACTGCTTAATGAGTTTGGGGTTTTATTTTGGGGTAATGAAATGTTTTGGAAACTGGACAGAGGTGATGGCTGCACAACACTGTACTAGATGCCATTGAACTGCTTAAAGTAGTTAATTTTGTTATGTGAATTTCACCCACAAAAAATATATGTATAAACAAACACTCCTCAATTCTGCACTGGCTAAGATATTACCAGTAGCAATGGCTATGTCTTGAGACGGTTCTTCCTTTCTACATTCCTCAGGACATTGCAGTGTTAAAACAAAAGGAGGAGTTAAAAAGGTTAATCTTGAATGCACAAGCCACGTGATTTTGCTCTGAGGAGTTAATAGGATAGACATCAAATAGTAGAATAACGTGTTCAAAGTCTATGAAGTTGAGTTTCAAAAAAAAATTATCTTAATGGAGCATTAGTCTATTAAGATAGACTAATGAAATCAAAAGCATTTAGAGAGAGGCATTCTCCCAAAGGAGAGGGTCCCAGTGAAAAAGAGACCTTAGCATCCATGACTGTTATGTGTACACGCCAGCAGGAAGCCCACAGCGCTTCCAGGTAAGTATTGAAAAGTGAGATTCAAGAGAGATCCACAGACGCATCTGCACCACAGCTCCTGGAGGCCCAAAGTCCTCTCCAATGGGCAAAGAGCTGCGTGTGGACTGGCGGCTGTGGTTCCAGCTCCCACTCCAAGATGTAAAGCCCATTTCCTCACCTGTGACCAGAGGGTTCTGTCTGAGGTAACTTGGAAGGACGAGCCCAAAGAAGATCGAAAATCCAAGCACAAAGAGGTTCCGGGAAGAATTTAAATCAATGAACTGCAGGTTAGAGAGGCCAACAGCTGTGATCATTCCTGGAGAAAAACAAACCAGACCACAAGCTCCAGCACCACTACAGCGGGGACAGCTCAAGGCAGGTGAGGGCAGGCTCCCTGGCACCCCTTCTCTGTCCAACAGAAACCAATGAGACCAGTGCAGGGACAGGAAGGGGGACGTGTGGGGTCAGACTGTAGCCACCCTGCGCTCTGAGCCAAATGACCCTCGGCGTACGCGCTATTTGGGCTCCTACGGGAGCATAAACACCATGTGGCATTTTGTTTGTCAAATAGAAAACTAAGGACATTGGTTCTCTCTCTACACAAACATTTTGATTAAACAGGGAGACCTACCTAAATATCTGGTGCATGTCTCTGGTTATTACAGCTAAATGGTGCAGAGATCAAACCCAGAGTCCCACTGTCAAAATGGTCAGTTTTAAGTAGCCCATTCAGAGGGATGGTATTTGAGTTAAATTGGTCAGAAATACTAAAGAGATTAAATTTAATTGAAATGTTCATAGCACAATTACATCTTATTGTTGGTTCCATATTTAATATAAATTCAACTCAGAGAGTGATAAAAGTTTTCATTTTTTGAAGGCATATCCTTTGTATTTTAAAATAGAAATTTATCGTTACCTTCTTACTGAAGGGAGTCAGCAAAAACACCATGACCCCTATTAAAAATTTGGAAAAGTAAAGGAAAAAGCCAGAGAGGGGAGTCTTACCAAAGAGCGTGCAGAACAGGGCTCCCAGCACAGGATCCGGAAGGGACGCAAAGAGGGCGCTGAACTTCCCGATCATGCCCAGAGCGAGCATGAGGGCTGCTCCGCACTGTATCACGCGGCGGCTGCCGACCTGCAGAACACACAGGAGACTGGGAAACAGGGACTCATCTCCATGCAAAATCACCGTAAGTTACTAAAGAACACACAGCAGAGATACCCATGGCCTGGCTCGCTACCTTCACCTCCTCCTCAGCCCACTCTTCTCACCTCCACTGTGGGGACCCTGAGGGCCGCCCTCTGCATCTCCAAGCCTTGGTGACACTCCCTGCACTCAGGCCTCAGGGCTCTACTGCCCTGGCACAGTCATGGGTTGGGATGGCCGTCTGTGTCTCAAATGCAAAGGCCACACTTTGCCCCTGCCTATCCCCTGGGTTCCCGGCACCACATGTCACCAAGGCAATTTCCCCCAAAGTGCTTCAGCCTCAATGCCAACTTCCCCACACCGGAAATCAGACCAAACCCCCAGACATGTCTGGAACCTCCTCTCCTCACGGCACGCTTCCCGTGAGAGGTGGAAAAGAGAAGGGGCTACGGATGAGGACATCTGGAGCCTGACTGCGGGCTCTTCTCCTGGCCCACGTCTGACTGTATGGTCGGGCCGACCCGTAGCCTCTAGAGTCTCAGGATCTTCATCTCAGTCACACACAAGCCTCGTGGTTTTGTTTTGAGGATTAAACGGGACCTGCATAAAACTGCCTGAATGGTAGCTGGCACGCACTGAGCCATCTGAGAGCCGCCCACATGGGCCTGCTGCCACTGGCCTTTCCTGCACCCATTCCATGGGGCCACGGGGTCACCTTTCTAACACATGAAATTGGGGAGGCTGGTCCCCTGCTTGCATCCTCTGGTACTCATGAAATAAAGCCCACTTCTCAGGCTCTTTCCAAGCACACCAGGCAGGCCTGGGCCTGTCTACCTGGACACCCTTCCCTGTGGTTCCCTCCTAGCCAGATCCTAGATGCATCCTTTTAAACATCACCCAAATGCTCCTCTGAAAAGCATCCCAACTCCAGGACTATTCCCCCATTATAGGCTCTCATAGCACCATGTAGGGCATATCTGCTACTCCTGATCTCTGCCTCCCAGCAGCTTCTGTCTAGCCTGCTGTCACCAGTCATGGGTTGGGATGGCCCTCTGTGTCTCAACGCAAAGGCCACACTTTGCCCCTGCCTATCCCCTGGGTTCCCGGCACCACACGTGAGAGGTGGTGCTGGCATCAGGCTCAGGAATCCTGCACTATGGGCCCCTACTCTGTGCTGCCTCTTGCAGGAAAACACCCTAAGGATGTAAACTGGGTAAAGGAGGTTCCAGAGTGTTTGGGGGAGTATCCACAAGGATTTATGTATGACCCCAGTGAGGAGAAGAGGGTTGCTTCAATTTTAATTAAGTAAAATGAGACAAAATTTTAAACGCAATTCCTCACGTACACCGGCCACATCTCAAGTGCCCACCAGGCACACGTGGCTGGTGCAGCTGTGTGTGACATGTTGACCACTGCACAGAACCCTCAAAGGACCAGGGTCAGCCAGTTACGCATCAGAGCCTGATCTGAGGCTGTGCACATGAGAGATGGCTGCCCAGCTGGACTCAGTCACTGTCTCACTGTCCCTAGCCTGCCCCACACCACAGACGGCAGGGAAGCAATGGAAAAGATCACTCAAACTGACAAATCAAGCAAAAGCGACTCATGCTTGGCTGTTACTATGGAATAAGGAAGGCTTTCATTTACTAATGGCCCTATCTTCAGCAAACATTTTCGAGGAACTATGTAATTATTTGATCAAGCTTGTGACTTGTTAGACTGGGACAGGTGAATGCAAAGATGAATAAGTCACAAGCTTGATCAAATAATCTCACTGCTATGCTGTTCTGCTGTTGGGGGAGCCCAGCAGCAGGGAAGAGAAAATCTGAAGAGTTGGGGAGGGTTGTTGGAGATGGTCCTGAGGGGTGAGTAAGAGTTCGCTAGTGGAAGAGCATCCAGGCAGAGGAAACAGCCTATGCAAAGACTCCTGGCAGGGTCGGGCAGGCCTGTTAGGTATGAAGGGCCAAACTGGCCCCAGGGATACCTGAAACTAAATCTGGTAGCAAAGTGACATCCAGAAGACTGATCTGCCTTTGATGCTGTCAACAATATATGCAGCAACTAAGCCATTCTTGTGTTCAATGAATATTGACCAAGTACCTATTATGTTTTATTCTAACTACCAGAGATAGAGCCCTAAAATCCCAGCCTTCCCGGTGCTTCCCCAGGACCTTTGCTTCCCCTCTCACAGGGTCCATTCCCTGGAATCTCCTTGGCACCTCCCTCCTGAACTGTGGCTCTGCCTCTAGGACCTTGGTAAAATAGACCCTGGGTTTCTGGATTTACAAAGTCTTCAACGGTGGTGCAGAATGCAGCAAGGAGAAATGACCTTCCTCTGGACACCAACAAAGAGATCTGACGGCCAGCGAGATAGTACTTGCTCTGTTCCTAGAAATAAACTAAGGGGTAAATAGCAATAATGATAATAACGATAATGATGGACCTTGCTGGTCCAGGTAGGGAGGCACTCAGGTGCCATCATTCCTTCATGCAATATAGATATTTATGAAGCACCCGCTCTGCCAGGCTACTGTTCTAGGCACTTGGGATACATCAGCTCATTAAAAAGTGCTGGCAAGGTAACTTGTCAGAGTAAGCTAGCACCATTCAAATTTTAATAAAAGGAATGATTTCCCAAACTACCTTGGTGGCCACATTATATGATGATGTGTTTTAAAGGGGTGCAGAAGGAGGAGGCTTGTTACACCATCTTCCCCTAAGATTCCCTTCATCTACAACAATTTTACTCCTACAGTCGTCCCTAGGGAACCTTGAATTAGTTCCAGGACCGCCACTCTCCCCGCCTCAGATACCAACAACCACAGACGCTTAACTCCCTGATATAAAATGGTGTAGTATTTGCATGTAGCCTACACACATCCTCCAATATACTTTATTTTATTTATATATTTTTTTTTATTTTTTATTTTGGAGTCAGAGTCTCGCTCTGTCACCCAGGCTGGAGTGCAGTGGCATGATCTCAGCTCACTGCAACCTCTGCGTCCTGGGTTCAAGTGACTCTCCTGCCTCAGCTTCCCAAGTGGCTGGGACTATGGGCACCAGCCACCAAGCCTGGCTAATTTTTGTGTTTTTAGTGGAGACAGGGGTTCAACATGTTGGCCAGGCTGGTCTCGAACTCCTGACCTCAGGTGATCTGCCCACCTCGGCCTCCCAAACTGCTGGGATTACAGGTGTGAGCCACCGTACCCAGCCAATATCCTCCCATATACTTTAAATCATCTCGACATTACTTACAATCCTTAATACAATGTAATTGCTCTGTAAATCGTTGTCAGACTGCATTGTTCAGAGAATAATGACAACAAAAAGTTTGTACATGCTCACCCAGAACAGTACAGAAACAAACAATATTAGTTCAGAAACAATATTTTTGAATTGAAGTTGGTAGAACCCACAGATACAGAGGGCCGGCTATCTTATTTGAGATTTGGGATTAGTTATATGCCTGCAAGCTCATGGCAGCAAACTGGCTGAAGAGTGGCATGGCTTAGGCCCCATTCTGTGCCCATGAGATCCTTCCCTCATCTCCCTGTGCTCAGCACTGGCTTCTCACCATGGGTAGCAAAAGGACCTCCAGGATGGCGCTAGAGGAAGCGCCCCTCAGACAACCTTCCCTCACATCCCCCATACAGGGAGCAACAGGCAGATGGGGCCATTGGCACACCTCAGGCTGAGCTCTGGCAGGGCCCTGCCAACCTGGGGAAACCAACAAACAAACCAGGCATGTGTGTGCCTGCCTGGCAGCTCCCTCTCACCTGGATTTGCAATCAAGGTTAATCAAACTTAGTATCTGGTTTCTCTTTATCTGATTATAGAATCTTACATGGCAAAGGAGAGCTCTTTTGAAATCCACTCCTCCCTCCCAATTTGACAGAGGTCAACCAGTTCTAGAAGGTTTCCGGGCTCACCCCAAGTCCTCAGTGAGGGAGACCTGTGAGACGTAGGCCATCGAGGATGGTGAACCAATTTTCATGGTCTTAGTTTCACAACATACCATGGCCAATGGTGGGTCATCTCTTAATTTAAAACTAGTGACACCTCCCAGTTGGGATCCCATTTCTACCTTTTGCCCAGCCCCCCATGGTCTATTCTCATCACTGCAGTCAAAGCGATCCCTAAAAAAAAAAAAAAAAAAAAAAAAATCTGACCAAGCTGCTCCCTGCAGCACTCCCTTCCACTCAGGCAGTCTGTGGCTGCCTACCTACCTGCCTGCCTGTGTAACCTGCTCCCCAGTTACCCGGCAGACCCCACCTGCTCTGACTCCCTGACCCGCACTGGCCTCCTTGCTGACCTTCCACTTCCAGGATAGGGCTCGGCCCTGGCCACACCCTGGCCTGGAACGCTCTCCCCCAGGTTATTTGCAGGCTCCCTCCCTCCACCCTTCAGGTCTGTGTTCAGGTCACCTGATCACCCTCTCCCCAAGCTTCCTGTCCCATGTTTCCCCCAGTACTTGTCACTGGCTGACATAATGCATCATTTATGGACTTAGTATGCTGATTGTTGATTGCTAGAATGTAAACTCCACTTTTTAATTCACTGATGTATCCCAAGTGCCTTGAACAGTGGCCTGGCAGAGTCAGTGCTTTATAAATATCTATACTGCATGATGGAATGACAGCACTGAGTGCCTCCCTACCCGGACCAGCAAGAGAAGAGAGACTTCCAAACAGGCATTATAAACACTTAAAAAAAAAAAAAAAAAAAAAAAGGAGAGAAGTAATTTTTTAGAACCAGAGGCCCGCCCATTTGGAACTTGCAGTGGCCAGATCGATCAATGAAATGGACCAATGCTTAGAAACCCAATCATTTAATTAGAAAAATCTGTGTACCTTTGTAATTCCCAAAACTCCAATGTTGGGACTGGATGAAGTAGAGCCATTCCCAGTACCAAATATGCCATCAAGAACACAGGAGAGGCCTTCCACGAAAATTCCCCTAAGATGTAAAGGAATGGAGGAAAGAAAATCATTCAATGGGATAATGCATTCACTCTGAAATAGCCTCTACACATCTACAATCCAAAAATGTGGTCCAGAGCCTGCAGCTTCCACATCTCCTGGGAGCTGGGAGGGCGATTAAAAATACAATCTCAGACCCCACCCCAGACCTGCTGAAGCAGAAAAGAATCTGCATTTTTTTTTTTTTTTTTTTTTTTTTTAGAGAGTGTCTCACTCCGTCACCTAGGCTGGAATGCAGTGACGCGATCTTGGCTCACTGCAACCTCCACCTCCTGGGTTCAAGAGATTCTCCTGCCTCCCGAGTAGCTGGGATTACAGGTTTGCACCACCATGCCTGGCTAATTTTTGTATTTTTAGTAGAGACGGGGTTTCACCATGTGGCCAGGCTGGTGTGGAATTCCTGACCTCAGGGTGATCCGCCTGCCTCAGCCTCCCAAAATGTTGGGATTACAGGCGTGAGCCACTGTGCCCGGCCAGAATCTGCATTTTAACAGAACCCCCAAAGCTCATTCCATTTTGAGAAGCACATCTCTAAATCACACGTTAGATTTGAGTGTTTTTAAATCACCGCAAATGAAAGCAAAGGATTTTAGCCAGAAAATAAAGCCATTTGTTGGGGTATAAGACAAACATGGGCCGTCTATGGAAATAAAACATTGATGTGATCCTTTACTCTTAAAATCCAGTTTCATCAGGAAGGAAATGTTTTATAATTTCATAAGTACTGACACTTTTAAACATACTGATATACAGGTATTTAATCATGTGCAGCAGCTCCATTAGAGAAAGATGGGGACATCAGGTACCAGAGCCAAGGCCCAGTCCATTAATCTCATCACACACAGTCCCTTCTGGGGTTACAGAGCTGGCTGGAGAACAGGAGGGGATCTGGGCTGTTTTCTTTTCTCTGCAGACTCCTCAGGGGCAATCATCTGACAACTTCTAAAAGCTAATCATAAACCCCATAGTTCATAAGCCCTAGATCCCACAGATTTCATTCATTTCTGCTATTCCTGTCCCTATTTATATAAACTGTAACTGTGCATAGATTACACAGTGCTTACCCTTGGGGACAATTGGAACGTATCTAATTGACAGACCTGGGGCATACTGCCTGCTGCTAAGGTTTCCACTACAGGGGAGAGCAAACGGTATCCTTGTGCTTTCTGTCTGTCCGATTGTGGCAGCCAAGATTGGGTGGGGAAACAGGGAAAAAAACAGGTAATTTTTGCAATGTAGAAATAGCACTGTATAGCCAAGTATGGTGGTGCACACCTGCAGTCTCAGCTACTCAAGGTGCTGAGGTGGGAGGATTGCTTGAGCCCAGGAGTTCAAGAGTGTGGTGCATTACGATTGTGCCTCTGAATAGCCACTGCACTGTAGCCTGGGCAACACGGTGAGACCCTGGGTCTTTTTAAATTAAAAACAAACAAACAAAAAAAAAACAAAAAAAACCTGTAAGCAGTGAAGAGCTTGTTTTGCTGGGAAGAAAAATTTCAGTTTGTGTAAAAAAAAAAAAAAAAAGAACAGTTGGAAAGGCAAGATAACAGAAAATCAAAGTAGTGCTCTCTATCTCTCTCTCTCTCTCTATATATATATATAGACAGAGCTACTTTGATTTTATCTATCTAATCTCCAAATGACACACACACACACACACACCCCAAAAAAAGCAAAGAACAAGTGCAGTGCTTGGCATGTGGTTTTTGAATTTAAGGCTTACAGTGGTTTCGCAGAGAGTGTGTTATTTGATGTCACTGCAATTAAGGAAGGGTAGGAATTCCGTTCCACGTCATGGACGAGGAAAATGAAAGTAAACAAAGGCAGTGGTGTATCAGACAGTCGAAAGTAAACAAAGGTGGTGATGCATCAAACAGTCGCTAGAGTCCTGCTGCTTGGCTGGGCTCCTGCTGAAACTCTTGGTTTTGTCTTCAAGGTAATGTAAACCTAAGAACAAAGTAACAAGGTGCTGGGACCAATCAGGAACTTGTCTTCTCAGGAACGTACCTGTTTATTGCGTGGATGGGGGGGGGTGGGGCACAGGACAGCCGTGCACAGGCGTAGTAGTCACCAATAGACTCGATGATGCTGGCGACCACGGCACTGAGCATGCCGATGACACCGGCCGCAGACACGGTGGGCAGTCCCCACTGAACTGTGGGAGGAAAACAACCATGAATGCTCCTAGAGAGGCAGGCGAAAGTGACCAGGACCAGTTACCCAAAGTCATTCTGAACGCTGCAAGACTCTACAAGATCCACTTGGATTCTGAAGCTCATGGAAACTGTTCATTTTAAAATCTTAAGCACCAGATGCCTGGGACAGTTGCTAAGTCAGATGAAGGCGGCCATAATGAGGACTGATGTGCACTGTGTCTTTAATTAAAAGAAAACATCGTAGCCGGATGCGGTGGCTCACGCCTGTAATCCCAGCACTTTGGGAGGCCGAGGCAGGCAGATCACGAGGTCAGGAGTTCGAGACCAGCCTGGCCAACAAGGTGAAACCCCATCTCTACTAAAAATACAAAAATTAGCCAGGCGTGGGGGCATGTGCCTGTAATTCCAACTACTCGGGAGGCTGAGGCAGGAGAATCACTTGAACCTAGGAGGCGGAGGTTGCAGTGAGCCAAGACTGCGCCACTGCACTCCAGCCTGGGTGATAGAGCGAGACTCCATCTCAAAAAAAAAAAAGAAGAAAAAGAAGAAGACATTGTTGGGCTGGAAGAGGCTGTAACTTCTCTTTCCTGCTTCCAAGCCACACTCAGTATCCACTAAATAACAACTGAAAGTGCCCTGCCACGTTGGGAAATTTGTATGAGGGATTTATAGCCCTGCTGTACAGAGCAGGGTACAAAGCAGCAGTGGCCTTCCCCAGGGGAGGACATCAAGTGAAAAGGCAGTGAGAAATCACCAGCTAAACTTAAATCCCAACAGTAAAGCATCCATAAGGTATGGACAGTCCTTCTCTACTATAATACCAGAACCTTATTTTTATATCATAAACCATGTTATGGGAAATTAAATAGTTTCATTTCAGAAAGCAAAGTGAGGCCCCACTGAAACTTCATTTTAAGTTCCGCATTTACTTAATCCCTCATTAGATACTTTTTTCTTCACAAGTATATTTATTTGGACTTGAAAGCCATAGGTCTTACTTAACAAAAATAGCATGGGTCTCTTTCGTGTGAGAATGAATAGACTCCTTTGATAAAGGAGTAGCCCTTCTTCCGTTGAAGCATTAGTTATAATACACTCACTGAGCAGAAAGCACAGTGGGAAAAGAACGATGGCTAAAACATGGTCTCTCATGCAGGAGCCAACAACGTAGCTGGGGACACAGGACACTCCAAAAGATCCAGGGAGAGGGAAATTGCTCAACTTCAAATGGAGGCAAGCTGAGCTGGGTCACAAGAAGCACCAGTGAGGTGGTCAGGAAAAGGCGAAGTCGGGCCCTGGCCAGGGAAGGATCTGAGGAGGAGGTGGGAACGGAGGTGCCCCTCCAGGGATCGGGAGGGTCTGGAGGGTGGGGTTTGAGGGTGTTCTGGTGAACGCAGAGCTCTCATGCAGGGCACAGGGCAGGAGGCAAGTTCTGGAAGTGTTCCAAAAGCCATCTAAGCCACCTAGAGGGGTTTGGCCTGTGTTGTAGGTAGCCTAGAGCAACCACTGGATTGGGAAGAGAAAGGATACAAAGTCAGACGTGCAGAATAAGCCTGGAGTGCGGTTAAGGGCAGAATTGCTCCTGCCTCAGGCTTGTTCATTCTGTGGGAGCAGCCAGGGGATGCAGAGGCGGCCCTTGGTCAGGGGTGCAAGGTACGCAGGTTGATGGATGGGGCTCGACACACCCTATGCCACCAGCAAGAGGCCTGCTCAACGTATCAGCTCCAGGTTAATTTGGAATGGATTTTCCTCATTCAGAGGCCTTCCTCACCAAGGAACATTTTGCTTTTTCTCAATTATCTTTTATACTGTTATCTTGTTATTGTTGTAGCATTCTGGTTTCAAGAATTCTGGTTGTAGCATTCAAGTTTAGTGTCTTGATTTTGAAGGGGGATTCTTATTTTGATCCTTTTTCCTTCAGATATATATCTATATATCTATATCTATATTTTTTTTTCTTAAAGACCTTGTTGGCTTCCAGCCTTCTCTCTTGAATCTGTTATTTCATATCTCCTTTTACCAAGAAACTTTCATTTAGTTTGTTACTTGACAGCAGGGTTTTTCAACCTCAGCACTGTTGACATTTTGCACCAGAAATCTGTATTATATTAACAATCAGTCCAGACCATGCCTAGTGTACTAAAGACTGAAAAGCACTGCTCAGGTATTCAAAAGCCCCTCTCTGGCTTGAGACAAAGCACTGGAGAGTACTACATATGTATACAGTAGTACGACTATATCCCTGGAGGTGGCTTTCTAGCTATGGAGCTCTGGTACCCCACCAGCCCTCGGCAGGCCAGGAGCCCTACGTGCTCGCTCACGGCCAGCACAACCTCAGGCGCTCTGTCTACTAAGTTTCGCCTTCTCGTGTGTGGCCCCATGGGTCCTAGTGAACTCCCTCTGGCCCCAGCACCTGTACAGCTGCCTCTCCTGGACAGCCCAGCTTGTGCCCCTACTGGCGCCCACCTTGGGAGTTGCCTGCACAAGCAGAAGACCACCTTGTATACGCTGTGGGGGCTTCTACCTACCTGCCACCCCCGCCTCGCCCTCACCCTGACTGCCTCACCAACTAATTGTAATTTCATTTTATCTCAGACTACAGGTATGTTTATGAACCATGCACATTCTTTCTTGGAAAAAGAATAGGTCTGTATAAATGCACACTTAGACCATACAATCTGATGAGAAAGTTATTTTAGAAAGATGAAACTTTTTTTTTTGAGACAGTCTTGCTCTGTCTCCCAGGCTGAAGTGCAGTGGCGCAATCTCGACTCACTGCAACCTCCGCCTCCCAGATCCAAGCGATTCTCCTGCCTCAGCCTCCCGAGTAGCTGGAATTACAGACACCCGTCATCAGGCCTGGCTCATTTTTGTATTTTTGTAGAGATGGGGTTTCACCATGTTGGCCAGGCTGGTCTTGAACTCCTGACCTCGGGTGATCCTCCTGCCTCGGCCTCCCCAAAGTGCTGGGGTTACAGGCATGTCCCGCCGCGCCCGGCCTGAAAGACGAAACTTTTTAAAGCTTTCCTAAGTGTATTGAGAACAAAAAGAACAGCCAACACTCATCATTCAACATGCTCAGAGCAGTCATCTTTAACCCAACCTTAAAATTCTTGGCTTCTCTCTTTTTCTCCTTGTCATTATAAAAAATGAAAATAAGATGGTTACACAGGGAAAGAAGTGGGCTGAACCTGACTAAGCTCAGGCTCCAATTCTAATAAAAACCCAGACGCCGGGACTAGAGTCTTCACAATGGAACCAAGTGTGTAACAACCACTGGGATCACCTACACGGGGCCAGCTGCGAGTCCAGGTGACACCCCAGCTAGGGAATGTATTCACACCCCCAACAGTTACACAACACTCAAATTAAGATGCAGCTTTTGGCCATTAGTGACTATCAACTTACCTCTACAGCTGTGGCCAAATTTAAAAGATTATGGCTGCCCATTAAGAGATTATATAAATTCCATCATGCTTGAGCAGGTTGCTTGCTAATCCCCAGGCTGTTCCCACTCACATCTTTCCACTTTGGCAGCTCTGGGACCAAGCAGCTCTATACTTGCCTATCTAAGCAGCTGCCCTCAAATCCTGGCCACCAGAGCTTAAACCTGGCAAGAGACCCCTTGTCCAGGATTTCATCCTAGCAGATCCAAAAGAGACAGCTCGCTAATGTGAGAAGGGAGCCGGTCAGTCTCTGTGTGTTGGTTTCTGCCCTCTGGGGACAGGGCCTCCCTTACTTGCTGTCTAATCCTCTCCTGACCAGAATGGCAAGGCCTTCAGGAGACAGTCTGGGACAAAGACGGCTGTTCTGCCAAATTCCCACCCCTCTCAGTTGGGCCCTCGTGGGCTCTTGACCCCTCTAGCCATCAGAATACTTACATGGGTATGGAACCTTAAACCACGGGGCTACCAGAAGCACGCCTTGCCTGGCATCTGTGCGAGCATAGAAGCCATACTTTGTGCTGTCGGGAGGGAAGACATCTGTCACCGTGAAGATGAAGCAGAGCAGCCAGGATACCAGGATGGCCAGGATGATCTGGAGTGGTCAAGGGGAAGCTCTGTCAGGCCAGCAGGGCTCACAGGTGTTGGCAAAAAACACGTCTTCCCGCGGTCGGAATATCACACCCCAGAGCCCACCACAGTCAGTACTTTGCAGACCTTCCTTGAATGGACTCTCACTGAGAGAGCAGTTTCATTCAGGTGAACTTATCTTACCCATTCCAAAGTCTGGCTGGTAAAACAAGAATGGACATCGTGCCTGCAGAGGCCACGTGGAGTCAAATCTTACTCAGTCCCAAGGACAGTGTCCCCTTCCTTCGGCACTGCTAAAAGGATGTGCTCCCATTTCAGAATCAGAATGTTTAAGTCTATGATGATCTGAGTGGTCATTAGTAGCCTGGTCTCACTGCACAGATATGATCCCCCAAGGAGGGCCTGCTTAAAACCCTCCCTTCACTTAATCATCTTACATATTAACCAAGGGCAAAAATGTCAGCAGGGGAAGAAGTCAGCTACTCACAGGGAACATTTTGAACAGCTGTAACTTGTACGCAGTCCATCCTTTCTTGGATTTATAAATCGGGAGAGGAAATTTAACATTTCTGGCGTATTGAGAAAACAGTAATACTAGGAATATTGTCCTGAGGAGAGAAAGAAAACAAACTAGGTCAAAAGCTGTTATGTCTCTGTTATAAAATAACACTCGAAGCTTCTATGGCAAAATTGACATAGTGTTCAATTCATTTACCTAGAAAGCTGCTAGTCCTCTGAACTACCATTTGAGAAATAGTATATCTATTGGAATGTACATCTTTTGGAAATACTACTGTGGGGGAAGATGTTACAACTAATTTGCCTAGCATTTCTTGATACTGAAATGAAATTCTGATGTAAATGCCTTAGGACAGCTTTTCCTAAATAGAATAAGAAAACCCAAAGAATGTACACATTGATGGGAAACGCTTACTCTATGTAAAGGGAAAGGATGCCAGATACAACATAAACTGTAAGATTATAACTATGAATTAACTACAAAGCAAACCAAGAAACTACTGCACGTACACACAAACAGGTAAGAAGGACATGATCCAAAATTCTCCCAGGGATTCGCTTTGAGTAGTTACATGATTTGCAACTGGTTTTCCCACTTTTCTGTATTTTCCAATCTACTTACAGCACGCATAAATTACTTTTAAAAGAGCAAAAAGTAAGCTTCACTGCTCAAGAAAAGTAGATACAGTAGAATTCAGTATTAATAACATTCCTGGGAGGCTTCTGTGTGCCAGACATTACACTAATGTCTTCCTGTGCAGCATCTCAACCTTACGGGGTGGCTTCTAAGATGGTCTCCTTTTCACAGAGACAAAGCCAGAGGTCCAAGATCACACGGCTAGGGTTGTAGCACTGGGGACCAGGAATCTAGCTCTATGGCTTGAACTGAACTCTTTCCTTTTGCCACCCTGGTCACAGGGCAAGGAGGCTGGGCTGCGTAAGTCCCTCTCCTTGAGCCTCACGGTCCTGACTGAACTGCACTAAGTGCTATGGGAGGCAGGTGCTGACCCCTCCACGGCAGGACCATGGCACTTCCTGACACACCAGTCCATGACATCGGTCTGGTGTCCCACGGGGCTGGCAGGTGTGGGGCCACTTCCCATCCCCCAGGTGGATTTTTACTCATCACCGAAACAAAACTCGTGCCCAACAATGCGTCTAAGCCTCCACGCGGTCTCGCTCTTTCACTTACAACCTGAGGTAGAGCTGGCAGGAAGAGTAGGTTCTCAGTCAAAGCTAAGCTTAATTGTTCCTGGGCACAGTTCCAATTGTTGAGATGGAATCATTAGCCCCATCGACAGCCGGTCAAGTGTGACTCCACTGTCACATTCCTAATGAGGTGTGGATGGCAGCCCGGCTGGAGAACATGCGTGTGTTGCTCCACGGGTCTCCCTGCCTACTCAGGCGCTTCGGTGAACTGGTGATCCATCAGGGGTCTCTGCCAGTACCAGTTCAAGGTCGAAAACACACACAGTGCCCACGTTATTTCAATTCCTCTGGGATAGTGAAGTTTAACAAAAAACAATATGGTAACAAGGGATACTAAAACTGGAATATTTTAAACTTAGACCTACATGCAATTTTCATGTCTGGAAAAAATAAATGCTACTTATTTGTTTCAGAGTGAATATTAGGAGATCCAAAGATGCCCCAGGCCTGCTAGTTTTGTCATCATTATTTCAGGCAACACACCTGCACATTTAAGAGGGGACTGAGACCACACAGAATTTGAGGAGGGACACCCAGATCTTAGGCCCAAATCTGGCAACTCAAATTTAGAAAGCAGATTAGGTAGCAGATGAACATGACTGTTTCTTTCTGCTCTAAAACCTCTCTACTTCGAGTTTATTTTTATTCTCAAATACACCTGGGGGCAGGCACCCTGTGACAGAGAGGCAGCAGCTTAGAGGTGCAGACCCGCCCATGTCCACACATCTTAACTGAGCAAAGGGATGAAGCGTTCTAGCCCCAGCTCTCAGGATGGGCTGCTGTCTACTCCACTGGGTGCTTCCCACCTCATGTTTACCTTTGCTAACTTTTACTTTAAAATGTTACGCAAGTAATACATACTAAATTGTACAAAAAATTTAAAAGACAGATAAGCAGAAAGAAAAAGATAAAACCCTGAAGATCATCCATAATCCCCCTTGAGTGATAAAACCATGTAATATCGTGGTCTATCTGTTCTGAACAGTTTTCACTCCCTGGATATTTGCTGGGTGCTGGAGGAAGACAGATTGTCATCTTCCTTGTCCCCAGACATGAACAGGTTATTATCTAAGCCAAACTGGAATCATGCTTTACGCAGCTTCCTGACCTGCCTCAGTATCTATTTGCTTTTCCGCCTCATCAGACAGAGATTTGCAGCAGCACCTTAGTGACTGCTTAGCATTCTGTTTTATGGACATACCAGGGGACGGGGGAGGGATAGCATTAGGAGATATACCTAATGTAAATGACGAGTTAATGGGTGCAGCACACCAACATGGCACATGTATACATATGTAACAAACCTGCATGTTGTGCACATGTACCCTAGAACTTAAAGTATAATAAAATATAAATAAATAAATAAATAAATAAAAATTCCCATACTGTATGACATCAGAAGCAACATAAACAGCTTTAATTGAAAAACTGTATCATCATTGCTTCTAATACTCAGTCTTTTCACGTTGAGGTATATATTTCAGCATTTTTTTTGGTAGCAGCAAAAATTTAAGCTACATGCATGAGCATCAGCTGAGAAATGGCTGAATACATTATAGACTACATTACTAAACACTGTGCAGCTTTAGAAAGAAAGAGATCATCTAAACATGCTGTCTCAGAGAAGTAAACCCAACAAATTATTGGGGTAAAAATGAATAAAATTATGTATATATACTAGTTTGTACTTATTTGCATAAAAATATAAAAATATGTAAGGATAAAAACAAAATTTTTTACTAGTTAACAATCATGAGATTTTTTTGAGAGATGGAGTAGGAGGGGACTATTATTTTGCTTTAGATTTCTGAGCTTAATTACTGTTAAATTTCAAATACCTAGAATTTAACTGAATTGGAGGGAGCTGAAAAACAGTGGGATATAGATAAAAGTATACTGTTTTGGAGTGCCTGGTATTGACACATGGGGGTTCATTAAACTATTCTCTTCACTTCTGAATAGGTTTGAAATTTTCCATAAGAAAAGTCAATAAAAAAATAAGTTTTAAAATGTAGGTCCTACCAAGGACGTATGCACTGTGCCAGAAAGAGCAGTCACTGACCGGCCGCACTAACCTTCCCTGAGACTCCGTCTCTAAACTCCATCTCCATCAGAGTGACTTAGTTTGTACAACCTCATTCACTCTCAATTCCAACAGAATCATGTAGATAATACACATTTTAATAAATTGGGAGGATAAACCTTTTTCACACTTTAATGAGCTAGGTGTAGTCCCTTTTTTGCCAAATGGCTACTCCTATCACACCCTTCATCTATTACTCCACTGGGATTCTCTCACTTTTAAATTAACCAGTAGAACTCTTTACGAGTTAGGGATGTTAGCCTTTCTTGTGACATTTTTATGAGTATTTTCCCAGCTTTTTTTTTGAGACAGAGTCTCATTCTGTCGCCCAGACTGGAGTGCAGTGGTGCAATCTCAGCTCATTGCAACCTCCACCTCGTGGGTTCAAGTGATTCATGTGCCTCAGCTTCCTGAGTAGCTGAGATTACAGGTGCCCGCCACTACACCCAGCTAATTTTGTATTTTTAATAGGGATGGAGTTTCACCATGTTGGCCAGGCTGGTTGAGAACTCCTGAGCTCAAGTGATCTGCCCACCTTGGCCTCCTAAAGTGCTGAGATTACAGGTGTGAGCTGCCACGACAGATTTGTTTTTAATTCAGTGGTTTCTGACGTTTTAAATGTGTCAATAGTAAAATCTATCTTTCTCTTTCTCTTTTCAATATCTGCTTTAAGAAAGATCTCCCCTCCCTTAGGATTAAAAACTTATTTAGGTTTTCTTCTAGCACTTTTATGGTTATTTTGTATATTTAAGTCTTTAATTCAACTGAAATACAATTTGATATAAATTAGGAGTCTAACTTTTTCCCAAAAATAATTAGTTTTTCCTACATAATTTGTCCATTCCCCACTGGTTTCAAATATGACTGCCATCTATACTAAATATTTATTTTTCTTTGATTCTGTTTCTGTTCTTCTTACTCTGCTCTGCCAATGTCTACCCCTGTCCCAGGACCACAGTATTATTTATGAAGTTGTGGAATGTATTTAATTCCTCTACAGGCAAGTCACCATCCCCTCTCCTCTCTGATCTTTTTGGTATGGGTCCACATTATTTTACTTTCTTGTTTTATAAATTGACTAGCACATCTAGAATAACTTTAAATGATACCCGTGATAATAAACAAGCTTATTTAAGTTCCTGACTTCAAAAGGCAGGACTGATTTGAGTCTTTCATCATTCAAGTAGGAGGCATGTTTATCTTACGCATAAAGATCCTTCTATACAGCCAGGCACGGTGGCTCACGCCTGTAATCCCAGCACTTTGGGAGGCTGAGGTGGGTGGATCACCTGAGGTCAGGAGTTTGAGACCAGTCTGGCCAACATGGTGAAACCCTGTCTCTACTAAAAATACAAAAAAATTAGTCGGGAGTGGTGGCGGATGCCTGTAATCCCAGCGACTTGGGAGGCTGAGGCAGGAGCATTGCTGGCAGCCGGGAGGTGGTGGTTGCAGTAAGCGAGATTGCCCCACTGCACTCCAGCCTGGGCAACCAGAGTAAAACTCTGTCTCAAAAAAAAAAAAAAAAAAAAAAAAATCCTCCTATTCTCACATTGCTAAGTTTGCAACAAGGATGTAGGTTGAATTTTAAAAATAAAATTCAGGGGAAGGGACTATTACCATAGTTTTATCAATAAGACCTTATTAATAAAATCTACCCTGTAGTCCCAGGTACTCTTGGGAGGCTGACGAATGAGAATCGCCTGAACTCAGGAGTCAGAGGCCACAGTGAGCTGAGATTGTGCCACTGCACTCCAGCCTGGGTGATGGAGCGGGATCCTGTCTCAAAATTTAACAAATAAAAAAAAACCTACCATGGAGCCATGATCGATTTCAACACATTTTCTAATATTTGATCATCTGTGAATTCTTGAAATGACGCATTATGCCTTGTTCTTTCATTGTGTTATCTGTAGCAGCATCTTCCCAAACAACATTCTAAGGAATAGTCTGTCAAGATATGCTTATAGATGTGTGACATTTAAAAAACAAATTAAGGGTGGACAGGGCTGGATACTAAGGCCCTTTTCTGAAGGTGAATAGAGTCTTTTGCGCATTTGCATTTTGAAAGATTGGAAGGAGTCTTACAGTAGAGAATGATGCTGAACTTTAGCACGCTACCTGAAGACATTTGAACTCAGGGCTCGTTGCTTAGAATGTGCCGCAATACATCCATCAGCTCAGGATTTGTTTGTTTTTTAACACAACCCCAGGAAAGAAAACAATGGTCCATGGTTCTCCTTTTGTATTAGTTCAGTCAGAATTTGCCGCTAAGATTGGCTGGGGAGTTTCCCTCCTTTCACAGAGCTCTGGAACAGTTTGCAAGTTAGTGCATATAGTCTCTGTTCCTTGAAGACTGAATGCACTCATTGTCTAACCATCTGGGCCCAGGGCTTCTTTTAGGAATCAGAGTCCTTCAGCAACTATCTCGGCTGCTCTTGTGGTCATGGGTTTACCGGGCTTCCTGAGCCTTCCTTTATTAGTTCACAACCTGCTCACTGAGCACCAGCTCAGCCACGGGAGGGGCAGGTGCTGGGGGTGCAGAGGTGACCCACCCAGAGCGTAGGCCCTGCTCTCACAGAGCTGACAGCCCAAGGATACAGAAGAGCTCTTGGAAACTGAAAAAACACCAGAGCATAAATGACAATCTTGGCAGAAGGAATAAGAGATAAAGCAAAGGAGAATTCTCACGAATAGAGAAAAAAGACAAAGAGATAGAAAACAGGAGAGGAAACAGGAAGAGTCCAGGAGGCTTCAGGAAGAGGTTCCAGAAAGAGACAAGTAAGGGTGGAGTGGAGGAAGGCATCTAGATAATTCAAGATCATGTCCCACCTCTGCATGCCTGGGTGCTCAGAGCAAAGGGGCTCCAGGTATCCAGGCCAAGAGACGCAAGCAGACCCACCGAGGGCAGCACGTGAGGCTCCAGACATTGGAACAGTAAGAAAACCCCAAAGCTTCCAGAATTCTAGCTTGTGTCTAACTGATGTTTCAAAAGGAGGGGAGAGAGGAGGACCCCTGGGAGACATGAGGGAGAAGCTGGGGACAGTGAGGAATCAATGGCCAAGGGCGAGCAAGGCTCGCAGAGGGTGGCGGCAGTGAAGGCCTGCAAAAGAGAACGGGTTCAGAATTTGTTCCGGAGGAGGAAGGGCAGGATGGGCTGTGTGGGGGATGAGGCGAAAGGAAGACTGAAGAACAGATAGACATTTCTGGCTGAAGCAACTAGGGGCACGGTTGTGCCATTCACCGAAAGGAGGAAAGCAGAAGAAACTGGTTTCAGGGGCAGGAAAGGAATCAAAAGTCTGGGGCTTTTTCATTTACAGATGGAGATGTCTTGTGTAACAGTAAGTGGAGGGGCAAAATAGGGGCTGGATCTGTAAGTATCGAGTTTACAGGTCTGAACTACAGGTTTCCATGGAACTATCCACCATCAAAGAAATGCGATTTCCTTGGGGGAAGTGCATGGAGAGAAGGGGGCCAGGATCAAGTGTGGAGGCACCCCCATACTTAGAGATAAGAGTGAGGAGGAGTCAATTTTGGTTACTTAAGTTTTCTGAAAACCACTATTTTCTTACTTTTTGTTTTAATTTGGGGGGAGGTAACAGTTTTGCTCCCTCTGACGGGATCTGTGGCAGATCTATGTGCACAGGCTTCCTCTTATCCTGCTTAGCTTTGCCAGAAGTTTGTCTACATTGGGTTTTGTTTCCCCCTCAAGAGATCAGCTTTTAGATTTACCACTTCTATTTGTGTCACATTTTCTGTATCTTTATTAATTCGTTCCCCCTGCTTTTACTAGGTTCATTTTTTTGTCCTGTTTTCTTAGTTACTGAAATTCTTCATGTGCTGTATCTGCTTTAAAGGTTGTGAATTTTCTTGAGAACACCTCTGGCTACTAAGTGTGACTGGTGCTGTTCTTGCCATCATTTCCTAAACTATCAGTAATTAATTGCAAAGTTTCAATTTCCTCTCTGAGAGTGATTTTTAACACTTTTTTTTTTAAGCTTGTAAGTGCTTTGTGGGTTTTGTTCATCCTTTTGTTACTGGTTTCAAATTTTACTGTACTATACCTACAATTTATCCATTTTGGCATTAATTACATTTCGCTGAAAGACTATTCTCACATGCCATCTTCCCATCTCTGCTGGTGTGAAGAATGTTTTGACCAACCTTTGGTGAAATGAGAATAGTAAGAACAATTTTGGGCTGGGCACGGTGGCTCATGCCTGTAATCCCAGCATTTCGGGAGGCCAAGGTGGGCAGATCACCTGAAGTCAGGAGTTTGAGACCAGCCTGGCCAACATGGTGAAACCGTCTCTACTAAAAATACAAAAACTAGCCGGGTGTGGTGGTGGGTGCTTGTAATCCCAGCTACTCGGGAGGCTGAGGCAGGAGAATTGCTTAAACTCGGGAGGTGGAGGTTGCAGTGAGCCAAGATCGCACCACTGCACTCCAGCCTGGGCAACAGAGCGAGACTCCATTGCAAAAAAAGAACAATTTTGGGAAAGCATGATGATGGGTATTCATGCTCATGTGTGAGATGTGTCTCCTTCAAACCTTGTTTAAAGAAAAAAAAAAACTTGATATTTTCACACACCTTAATTTAATTTGTAAAGTGTAGATAACAATTCTGCTATGGTTCCCTTTTATTTGTACGTCATGTTCTAATACACAGAACAGGATTGAGTATGATGGGTTCGGGCCCATGTCCACCACCTGGGTTTTGAAACCCACGGTGGCCACTTAATTCACTGTATGACTCTGGGCAAATCACATTACGTCGTGGTGCTCAGTGTCCTCTGCTGTTAAATGGGATAACACTAGGATGTGCCTTATCTGATACTATATACAAGTGTTATATAAAGGACTGATGCATAGTAAAAGATCAATAAATACCACCTGTTATTAAATAACTGCAGACTATTTCACAAAACAGAGCAAATGAAAAATTCTCTTATGTGATGACTTATTTTGTTTTAGGAGTTGTACTGGCTGGTTAAATTCCAGAGTAATGGAACCATATACCTACACATAATCAACTCTTAAACATGCTCTGCAGACACATAGAGAATGTGGGCTCTGTGTTACAAAGAGTTCTGTGACTCTAATCATCAGTAATATTATCAAACTCCCCTGTGACTTCATTAACACAAAATGTTAACTTTACTTAAAGGGCAAGGGACATCTTTAATGGATGTGACATTCTGTACAAAAGGACAGGCACTGACTAGCAGGACCCTGGCAGAAACTATGTCCCTCCCCCAACCACCCACCCGTCAGGAGTGCAGAGCTCAGTGTGGCCTGGGGAGAAGAGTCACATCATCAATGGCAACAGACCTTTCCCACGACTTCTCTGGAAATACTCCAGATTCCTGCCACTCTGGAATATTTTTGAGTCTCATGATATAAAAATTTGGCTTCTCAGTATGTCAACTCATGAACATGAGACTTGGCAAGACCTCAAAAGTCAAAAACAAATGGCGCCACTACCTTACCCCACTACCAAAGCTTAAAAACTTACAATCCACCCTCTTCATATTGCTGCTAAGTCTGTCTTTGTAATACGTCAACTATATGTCACTTCCCAAACTCTGGGTCAAAAACCCTTCAACTATTCCCCAGCACGAAGCAAATAAAGTTGAAACTGTCAGACCATTCTTATTATTGAAAAACATTATCTCCTGAAGTCTGTGTGAATGTTCCTAAAGGCTGCCCCGCAGTGGTGGGATGAGGGGAGATGTTTCCACTTACAGCATGGCAATGCCCCAGTGCTTCCCGGCTCTCTCCCCCGCTGCCTGGAAACCAGAGAGGCCAATTAGGGCCACCGTGGGTGTAATGGTCAAGGGACCGATGTACTTCAGTAGAGCCCCAGGCAGGCCGAGGAGGCCGATGACTACTTCTATCAGTGAGGACATGATGATGGCCCCCTGGATCTGCAACAAGAGATGGCACAGACATGAGAGTGAGCTGCTTGTACACTGCACACTCAGAATGTCACCTACAACCACAACTGATAATTCTGCAAGGCAATAAGTTATTACATCATCTAACTTGGGAGAGATAGCTAGAAAATTCCCCAGGACCCGACAAGAAACTTCAGGGGGCACTAACTGGGGCCTGCATTCATGATGCAGGTGTATTACAGAAATAGGTCCTGGACACACGGCCCACATGCCTTTTTCACTGTTAAACGATGCAGGCAAAAATTTATAATTCCCTTTTAAGAAACACAACATTTAAAGACCAGCCTTAGAGGAACACTGCAGCATAAAGACTCTCAGCTTTAAAGAGTGAGCCCCCCAGGACATCGACAAGACAATGTTGTTGACAGAAATTCTAAAGGGATGTTTTTAGTGTGCAGAATGGCCACATCTGTGCTCATTCTGAACTGATGGTGAATTATCTCACACGTTTTGGAAAATATTAATACACTGTCAGCCGTACTTCATGTCTGCTTCTGTTCAATTGCACTTTGGCAGACAAATATCTTTAGTTCTTTCAATGAACACAGGCAAACACTGAGGCCAGAGCGAACAATTCTGCTATCTGTCGATGATGAGCCTCTGTAGCTCCATCCAGTGAGCCACGAACCTCAGCTAGCTGTGCTGGCGGGTGTGAGTGGACAGGTCTGTGGGTGTGCAGGAGGGAGGAAACCATTCCTTAAGGTTGCCCAGAGCATTTCCATATGCTTTATTTTAGAGTATTGCTTAACTACATTTACTTAAACAAGAGAAATAAACTATCAGTAATTGAAAAAGAAAAGAAGGGCTCAGTAAAAGTAACTGCTATTTCTTGGGTCAACCAACATTGAAGCTGAGAAGAAACATGAAGAAGCCAAAAGCAGACAACGCTTGTCTTTTACCTCTCGGATCCGGGGATACCAGATGTGTTCTGTGTGCAACAGCTCTGCTGTTCCATTGGCAACTGAAACATCTTGAAAACAAAAACAAAGTTTTTCTTGGAGTGACACTGATGTCTCACATGACATATTCATTTTACCTTTTAAGAAGAATTTTCTCCCTGTTTTTATTACATCTGTTTCAATCCCCATCCCTAAAATTCAACCTCCAACAGTATAGCTTATCTCACTGAAAGGTGGATCCTCAAATGCTAATTTAACCAAATGAATTCATCGACTAAGAGCTCCCCAAATTGTCAAAAGCTAACTGAAGTGGTGATACACGTTACTAGCACCAGCCTCACACAAAAAAACCAACCTTTGCACACAGCTCATTGAAATGCCCGACAGCAAGGTTGCTGGACTGAGGTTTGAAAAACTTAGATAAAACAGAGGGCCTTTTCCAGTTCCCAGATCAAATCAGTGGTCACAAAGTAACTCCTAGGAGCAAGGAAGGAAATGAAGGCTGGAAAACTTTGCTCCTAGAAGGTCAAAATGTAATTGTATTTTTGAGAGTACAGGTCTGACTCTAATTTTCTTAAATTCCCTATCTTTTCCTGACCTTATCGGGTTCCTTAAGGATCTTTGCAATCACTAAAGAAGGGGAATGAAAGTCATTTGCAGCAAACCACAGTAGCCAGATCCTTAAAAAGCAAAGATGTTTCAGAGAAGGGATGCTGACGCAGCAAAGAGAGTGATTACTGGTGGGTCATAAAATCCACTGAAAGAGAGAGGCAGAAAAATAGCACAAATATTTTTCTATTCCGTTCCCATATTTGTCAATTTCATTAACATAGAGAAATGAGGTCAATTCTGATCCTTTCTTGCTCTAGGGTTAGGGATGAACAAGTGGACAGAAAGAGAGAGACAGACACGATCCACAGATGGAGCATTCTAAGCTGTTTGTGGGTTTGTGTGCTTTGTCCCTAATTCTTGAAAGGATTTAGCGCTGCTGAGGGCAGCACGTCCAGGCCTCCCTTTACACCTGCATTAAAGGACCCCAATGACATATGTGGAAATAACTGCAATTACCTGTGGTGTTACATTTCCATTTATCTAAAGACAGGATGGCTCGAGCAGGGGCCAAAAATGCAAAAGCACTGGCCTGAAACAGGGGTAACCTAAAAGAAACGAGACCAAAACCATGATCACGGCATCGGGAACTACCGAGGTAGTTCACTATTTGACAGCTTAACAGTCTTTTCCATAGACATACAGCACATGAGTAAATGCAGGCACACCTAGAAGAAAAAGCCCCAGTTTGCAAAGGTTTCCTGTGCCATGCAGCCACAGCCAGTGGCTTCTTCATCCTCCCCATTGCCACTCTCCTCCCACCCAGGCAGCTCCAGGGTGGGCCCCGTGGTCAGTGCCAACACCCCAACACCGGCCCCTGCCATCACCACCTTTCCTCTTGCAGGCGGGAGACTGCGGGCATTTGAGGTTCCCTCTTTCCTGCTGAGCTTATAAACTCCTTTTTAAACATCAGTGTATTTCTGCTTTTTTACCTCCCTCCTCCTCCCTTTAAAATTCTTATTGGTTATCACAGGAACAAATTTCCCTCCGTTGTTTCATTTTGTAAATCAAAAACTGCCCTAATCACCGATTACAGATAAATCATAATAGTGATCTAGATCTACAGAGCTGTAAGTTACAACGTGACAGCAGATAAAATAAATATTCTGCTTAATCATAAAAATACTTAAAGACATTCTAATATATTTTAAAGGGCCCAGAAAACTTGCAGAATCTCCATTAAATTTGCTGCCCACATCCTCAAACTAAATGCAGAGATCCTCAAATGACATGATTTGATTATATTTTAGATACTTCATATTGACTTCATGAACACTTTAGCTATTCAAAAAGACTACCATTTTTTAATGGAAATGTACAGCATTTCAGCTAAGTCACATTAAAGTGACTTTATGGGTTAGCATGAGAACTTAATCACTATTTTTAATATAATTTTGAGGGTAAAATATTAAACTGACTCCTCCTGTTTGCAGGGCTGGGAACTCTCACACATCCAAATCCTGAAATGCCCCAGAGAGCCTAGTCAGTGGCCTGGCCAGCGAGACAGGGACCCAGCATCCTTCCCTTTGAGCTGTCTGGCAGCAAGTCCTACCCACAGTGAAACAGGAACTGGACTGAGAAATCAAACTGGCTCTAGCTAAAGGACAAGCAGTCTCGTTGCAAGTCCAGAGCCCAGCACACACCATTCTGAGCCAGTGAGGTCAAGACTTCCTTGTTACAGATGCTCTCCTGGCTGTTTAATCATGCAATGACATCAATCCAGAGTAGGAAGGGTGCTGGCTTTAAGGCACAGACGCAGGCTACACCATACAAACCAGATGCATTGCTGTTGACCACTCCCACAGGCATGCCCTTCAACAACCATCCAGTTATAATTACCTGCCAGAGGGGCCCAGAGGATAGCGGAAGTGAAGGACACCTGAAGTGGGAATGTACGTCAAAGGGAAAACACTGTTTGACTTCTAGGTATTCCATAAGCACAAATTTTCAGGACTGTACTGAAAGGACAGCGTGTAATTAGGGACGGATGCTGTATGGAATGGTCCAAATGCCATCTGGTTTACCATGGTTTCAGACTTCAACCAGTGCATCCTAGGGCAGTGGAATACAAATGGTGAATTGCGTTTAGAGATTTTATCCTTAGGAATGTGGCCATCACACATCACACTGTGTTGGTGATCCACTGGAAATGGCAAAAGGAAAGACTGGATCTGGCTTCCACTCTTCAGTCAGACCTCAGCCTGAACCTGACCTTGGCATCCGACCTGGGCACCTTTCAGGGTGAGCATTTGGTGGCTTAACTAGGACTAAAGGTCCCGAGAGCGCTGCTGTAAAGATACTTGCTCATTTGCAAGCTGCTGGGACCCTGAGTTCCCCTGAAATAGATGACGATAGAAAAAGTCTCCCGAGATGATCTGGAAAGGGCTGCTCATGCCAGCATTATGTGTTCACGTCTAGCCAGGCAACACCGCCTGACACAAGCTGTTAAGACGCCAGCACTAAGTGTGGGCTCTGTCACTGGCTTGACTGAAACGTTCTTAGGGAAAGTTGCAACAAGAGCATATGCACACGTTAAACGAGAGCTTCCCTAGATCACAATTAACAAAGCCAATTTTCCAAGAAAACGGCTGAAGGTGATGAGAGTGGCTTTTTTAGGTGCTTGCCCAGTGTGAAGACGGTCAATTCTCAGCTCTTCTCTCTGCACCCAAGGCACGGCCCCTGTCGTACTCATGTGACCAGGTAAACCTCAGGCACCCAGGTGGGTCTCCCTAGGCCGAGAAGACTGCCTGCTCTTTTATTTTGTACTAAAGACTGGAAAGGAAATACATTAAACTGTGCTTTTCTTTACACCAGGGGCGGCCAAACCAGCCAGTGGGCCAAACCTGGGGTGCTACCTGTTCTGTAAGTAAAGTTGTACTGGAACAAAGGACAGCCATTTATTTACTCACGGTCTAAGGCTGCTTTCACGCTATCACGGTGGAGCTCAGCAGCATTAACAGAGACACGCAAAGCCTAGGCTATTTACTGTTGGCCTTTTACAAAAGAAGTTTTTCTGACCTGTCTACAGGGAAAATATATCTTAAATATGTGAAGAGGCAGTGGGTTTCTGCAGCTAGAAATTCTCACAGTTAATAGTGGTCACTAGACATTAGTTTAAAAAACAAAATCCTGAGCAGACCAGCAACTTTGACATGACGAGATCCCATGTCGGGCTCCAGCCTCAGGACAGCAGGAGAACCTAAGCAAACTCCCACAGTCCTTACTTTATTCAAAACCCTGCCAGAGGCCCCCCATGTCCAGCTTGGTGCCCAGGTAACCTGAACCCCACTCCCAGCCTGGTATCTCTCACCAGCTCCTTCATACGAGTTCATCTTTCATTTGTCATTTAAGGCACAGAGAAAATATCACCTCCTCCAGCAAATATTCCAGGATCTCCTTTGAATCTGTAATGTGTTCCCCTACAACTTAGGACTTTTTGTCAAGATTTCTGCAAGTCACCTCCCAAGTTACCAGGAAGCTGCTTCAGGATTCTCTGGGAGTGCTGGTTAAATGTGGAGATTTCTGCATCTCGTCCTGGTTAGCCAGATTCAGGGGTGGGTGGCACCAAATCTGCATTTTCAACAATGCCTTCTAGAGGTGGCTGAGACTGACAACCCCTGTGCCAGGTTAAGGGATTTATCATTTTGTCACCTGATAAATGATTCTTGGATATCTGCTTGACACCAGCACAATTATAAGCAGATACGACGATGGAAAACACTTCCTGAGCCCTTCTGTTTCTGCTGCGTGAAGAAGACACTAATCATGGTCACATATAAGGGGCCGTGATGTGACGGTGTGAAATGCTGTGGGACTCTGCAGGTGCAGTCGCTTGAGCGAGTCTTAAAGAACGAGAAGTGCTTCGCCACGTGTGTGGGGGATTATGGGTATTCCGGGCAGAGAGAGGGGAGGTGCAAAACAAGAGCCACAGGACGGACCCAGGAACCCTCAGAGGACTGCAGATTCTCCACTTGAGCGAAAGCACAGGGAGCTCATATGATGAAGGTCAGTGGGGACCAGATGACAAATGCCCCGCATTCTTCCTGCAGCAAGAGGGAAATGAGTGAAGGACCTGCTCTGAAAGGACCACCGTAGGAGAACTGGGAGAGGTGACCTTAACCCTGAAGCTATTCTCAGTCTTGAAGGAACCAAGCCACAGAGGACATCCCAATAGGCTGTGGCATGGCTCTGTGTGTCATCTTTGCTTTTTAATTCCCTTTGGCATCCGCTCACATGACGAGCCAGCCTGAATCAGATCTCCGCCTGTGTCCAGCCTCTATCTGCTCCCTTCCTCGGGCTGCTGCTGTCTGTGCTGGTGCACTCCCCACAAGCTGTCCTGCCCATCTCAACCTTGAGGCGGGCATCCCCCGATACTAGGAAGTGGACTGGCTTCACCCACCATCTTGACCCACCATGTATCCTCAGCACCAATGAATACTTAATGAAATGAAGGAGCTATTTATATTCTCAGAAAGGACTTCTATTAAACTAAAAATAAGAGGTTAAGTCTTTGTGGCAAGTTGGTTTTGACTGCACATTTGGAAGAGAGTGGTGATTAGATTAAAAGTACTCAGAGTTGGGGGTGAAATGTGCATGGGTTTTCATGATTCAACCAGATAAGCCTCCAGATGCCGGGCGGCTTGCAGTCCTCCTCTGGTGCCATCAGAGAAACTTTAAAAGCCAATGGTTCCTATGGGAAACACCATGAAGATACAAAATGTATCTGCCCAGAACTAAACTGTTAATGAAAATGAATAAAACAAAAACAAAATTCACCAACACAGAGCATATATACTCTGTGCCTGGCTTCCTTCATCTACCAAGACAACAACCAAAGTTGGTACAAAACCCTGCATTGTCAAATGAACACTCAAGAGTCTAAACTGCAGGAAAAATTTTTGAAAAATAATCCTTAAGAGATGTAACAGGTTTGGCTTTGAGGAGCCATAGGTTCTTTATTGAATCTACCACTAGGAGTGTGTGTACCAACTACTTTTAAAGAAAAGCAAGGCCAGGCGTGGTGGCTCATGCCTGTAATCCCAGTACTTCGGGAGGCCAAGGCAGGAGGATAACCTGAGGTCATGAGTTCGAGACCAGCCTGGCCAACATGGAGAAACCCCATCTCTACTAAAAACACAAAAACTAGCCAGGCATGGTGGCAGGTACCTATATCCCAGCTACTTGGGAGGCTGAGGCAGAGGAATCTCTTGAACCCGGAAGGTGGAGGTTGCAAGTGAGCCTAGATCACACCACTGCACTCCAGTCTGGGCAACAGAGCGAGACTCCATCTCAAAAAAAAAAGAAAGACATAATGTGTCAAAGAAAACTTTTTCTTAATTGATGACATGTTCTATCATTTACTGTATCCATCCATCCATCCATCCATCGACCTGCTGAACTTTTGGAAAGCAGCCTGCACTGTTCTATCTATTCGTGGTGATGGTGATGTGATTGTACACATGGGTATAAGCTCATCTAACTATACAGCTTAAGGGTGAATTCTGCTGCATATCTATTGCCCCTCGACAGAGCTGACATTTTAAAAACCTATGTCTATCAATCTAACAAGTGTTTTCAGGGAGTGGGGACTTAGGAGGATGGGGGTAGCAGAGGCAGGGAGATGACAACACATTCCTTAAAACACCAGAGTCATGCCAAATATTGAAAAAACTCCCCAAATTTAAAACAGGAAAAGAGCTTCCATCCTTATTTGGTGATAAGTACTGTTCACTCCTGTGTAGAGCTGCTTTTGCCAGGGCAGTCACCTGCCTAAAAAGGAAGAATGGGGGTTAGGGGAGGGGAGGTAGGGGAAGCAGAAGGCCATGAGGAGGAGGATGAGCAATTCAGAGCCCAGGGAAATGTTTGGGGCAAGAAGGACCTGACAGTTGAAGAAGAAAGGTTGTAGAAAACCAAATTCATTAAACTTTCATGTAACAAGAGGACTCAATCAGACTCCCAGGCCCTTGAAACATCACAAATACCAGCTAACAGAGGAAGGGTGGAGTAACTGAAGGGAGACCACCCAGAAAAGCTAGAGTTGCAGGAACAAAAGCGAGTAGACCCGCCTTAGAGAACAAGCTTGGCTGAGGCAAGAGGGTCTCCGGCCTCAGGAGGGGCTGGATCAAATGCCCTTACAGCTTTCTGATGGCCTCTGCCATAGATTCCAGGGTCAGTGGGGCCCACCCTGGCTGGGGACACTGGCAGTGTGGCCAACCCCAAGCCCTGCTACACTCATCAGGTCTGCGTTGCTACACAAGGCTGTCCAGCCCTTGCTCGCTGTGCACCCGCTGCACTACCTGCCTCCTTCCCTCCCAGTGGGGAAAACTAAGATAAACAGAGTCAGCCACTGAGTGTGGACAGGTACCAGGCATCAGCTCACCTGATGCTCGCTAACAATCTTTCTTTTGAGACAGGGTATCGCTCTGTCACTCAGGCTGGAGTGTAGTGGCGCAAATCACAGCTCACTGTAGCCTTGACCTCCTGGGCTTAAGCAATTCTCCCACCTCAGCCTCCCGAGAAGCTGGGACCACAGGTGTGCACCACCACACCTGGCTAATTTTTTTTTATGTTTTTGTAGAGACAAGGTCTCCTTATGTTGCCCAGGCTGGTCTTGAACTTCGGGGCTCAAGTGATCCTCCCACTTTGGCCTCCCAAAGTGCTGGGAATGCAGGCATGAGCCATGGTGTCCTGCTCACTAACAGTCTTATGGTTAGTTTACCATTGAGGAAACAGGGCTTGGAGAGAGCTTGTCCAAAGTCACGTGACTATTAAATGATGGAAAGGGAGCCCAGCCGCCTCTGCATCCAAGGACTCAGTGCAGCTGGCAGTGGGGACAGGGCAGAGACCCTTAGCCAAGGTCATCACCTCCACGTTCTCACTGGTCTACCTTATCTCGGCTCACTGCAACCTCTGCCTCTCGGGTTCAAGGGATTGTCCTTGCCTCAGCCTCCCGAGTACCTGGGATATAGGCACCCACCACCATGCCCAGCTAATTTCTGTACTTTTAGTAGAGATGAGGTTTCACCATGTTGGCCAAGCTGATCTCCAACTCCTGACCTCAGGTGATCCGCCCGCCTCAGCCTCCCAAAGTGCTGGGATTACAGGCATGAGCCACCGTGCCCAGCCTGGTCTCCCATATTAATGTATGATTTTAAATTCCTTTTTAGTTAAGTGGATGGTAACAAATTTTTTTATTTGGGCACAAAACCCTATAATCTGCCATTATGTGCCTGCTTGACATGACAAAATACAAAGGATTTGACATCACCTACACAGTAATTTTGGCAACAATGTTTACCCTAAATCAACCATGCCTCCAGCCCCATCTTCTGGTTGACAACAAATCAGAGGGATTGTGGGACAAATCAAACAATATGACAGGGACACAATCAAGACAAAATCAGACACGAGACACCAGGTCTGGAATCTTTTTAAAAAGATGATGACGTGGGGAGGAAAAAGGTGGAGACAGCAAAGAGACACAACAAACAAATGCACCACACGAAGGAGACTGGTTTAGAGAGGGAATAATGGGGAAAGGTATTTTAGGAACAACTGGGAAGTTAAATACGAACTGCATATGAGATGATGAAACAGAATGATTGTTAATGTTCTTAGGTGTGACAAATGGTCTCCTGTGATACACAAGAGACACCGTCATTGCTAGGAGAGTATGTAGGGGTGAGCCATCATGCTATCTGCAACTTTACTTTTTTTTTTTTTAGACAGGATCTCGCTCTGTCTCCCAGGCTGGAATGCAGTGGCGTGATCATGGCTCAGTGAAGCCTCATCTCCTGGGCTCAAGCGACCCTCCCACTTCAGCCTCTCAAGTAGCTGGGACCACAGGTGCACGCCACCACACCCAGCTAATTATTTTTATTATTTGTAGAGACAAGGTCTCACTATGTTGTCCAGGCTGGTCTCAAACTCCTGGGCTTAAGCAATCCTCCCGCCTCAGACTCCCAAAGTGCTGGGATTACAGCCCTGAACCGCCTTGCTCAGCCTGCAACTTTACTTTCAAGTGGCTCAAAAATCAAAAAAATTACACTTGTACCCCAACATACATATACAGAAAGAGAAGTGGGGTCTCTCCCTTGCCCCAATCTGATCACCGCATCCCTCCATGCTTCTAAGTTTTATAAACAATCATGAGTTCGAAGTCCCCAGATTTAAGACCTTCAAGTCTCCTGGAGCCACCCCTTGTACTCAATGAGCACATATCATGGACAAGGTTCCATTACGGGCCCCAGGAACCTGACAGGATAGAAGACAGAGGAACTCTCTCTCCTTAGGGCAGACAATCTGGTTAGAGGCCAGGTTCCTAAACCAGCTACAATGACTCTCTTGGCCAAACCCTACCTTTTCTCAGCACATGAACATGCTGTGTGCCTACAGCAGGCCTGAGAACGGCCAGGAGGGCTCTCTCAGAGGGGGCATCCTACCTTTCATTTTGCTGGAGAGGTCAGAGTGATGCTTCTAAGAGGGGCCTGGAGTGAAAGGCTGAGGGTGGCCCCACAGATGCCGTAAGACTCTCCTCCCACCAGCCTGCGGGAAAGTCAGTGTGGTGACGGCGGGGCAGGGTCTTGGAGGGCCCTAGAGACACCAAGGGTCAGGGGTGGGAACTCTGGGAAGCTCAGAGGTGCCACAAAAGAATGACGGCTGCAGGCTGGCTAGGGGACTCTCAAAACCCTGACCTGATTTCTCTGGATTTTAAAGGCTTTGTACTAATTCCCGGAACAAGGGTTAGCTGGAATTGACATCACAGACCAACCAGAATGAGAACTGTTGAAACCTCGCTCAGGGGAAAACTCGGTAATGAAGACCTCCTTGACACAAAGCTCAGGGGATCAAGGTCAAAGGAGAGGAGGGAGGAGGAAAAGGTAGGGAGGAAGAGGGAGAGGGAGAGGGAATGCCATGAGGAAGGGCCGTGAGGAAGCTGCCTTTCCCTAAGCAAAGGCTTGGAAAGCACCAAAGCCTCCTAAAGTCCTCAACAACTGGGGCTAAGGCCCACAACCTCCAATGCAAAAAGACAACGGCCCCTGGAAGAAAAGGAAAACTTTCATGCCAGGGGAGAGATGTGCAGTGAAGGAAGAAGGGTCTGCAGCCTGCACAACTCAGACATGCTTCACGTGGTCTCAGCCAGTCAGCCTTGGGAAATGTACCCCCATGCTGTGGCATCTACAATCGGCCTCCTGTTCTTACTCTGCTCAAACTGCTTCCCAAGCCAGCAGGGAGGGGAACCATGCTGCCTGCTGACCTGGGTAGTTCTATTTAGGTCTTGTGACACAACAGTGGGCAAGGTGATGCCCTCTGTGACCAAAAGTATTTACCCCAAGTTCCCCCAGGCCCTCCCTTTCGTCTGCAAAGACACACATCTGTTTCACTGTGTCTTCTGCAAAGACACACATCTGTTTCACTGTGTCTTCTGCAAAGACACACATCTGTTTCACCTTCATGGGTTTCCCATCAACTCTGATCATTTTTATAGAATGAAACAGGTTTCCAGGATAGCATTCCACTCAGATCAAGAGCCCATGTGAAATGAGGGGGACGACTTGACCACAGCACCTTGTTCCTTCCTGTAATCTAGACACTTCTGCACAATAGAGGGCCCACCCCTCAAGGGCACAGGCCATGGTTTGTCCTCAGGCTCCCTTCACCCACAACATCCAGCGTGACAGAAATACTGGGTACTCAGCAAGAGGCAGTCAAATGCACAATGCAGGATACAGAACCGAAACACAACAGGGGAACCACTTCGGAGCTGGAGAAGTCTGACACTGTGTCTTAGAAATCACGAAAGCTGGACACGAAAAACTTTTCCTTCTGCTGCCCTAAGCCTAAGGAAATGAGTGGTGAGCTTCTCCAAAGCAAAAACACAACCCAAAAAAGCCCACAGAGGCCATCTGCCATCCTTCCGGCAGTGCTGCTGGGAGTCAGGCCTGCACGCCCGGCTGCATCTGCCTTTCCTCTCCACCTTGCTCCCTGCTCACAGTCTCTCTACCCCAACTGCAGAAAATAAACACAGAAGTCTAAAAGAAATGATAATTCACAGCCTATGATGGATCTATCTAAGCAACTAGCAGAACTAAAAGTCTAAAATATGAGTTCACATTTTCATATGCAAAAACTCCCAAAAAGTATTTTAGGAAACATAATAATCTACAAAAACACAATAGATTCATTAAAATTAGGCGAAATATATCATTCCCAGGACACCTGAGGGAGAAGCCTTCTTTCATTTTCACAAAGGAAACGGGGCTCGAGGGGTCACTTGTCCAAGGTCATAATGCCACATGCTGTAAACATATCTCTATCCTCAGAAATGTAGGTTTGATACCCAAGGGGTTAGAATTCCATAAAAGTATCCCAAAATCTGACTTTCACTTGCAATGGCCATGCGTCCAGCTCTGGCAGTATTGATCTTGGTGAGCACCCCTAGAACAGATGCTGTCCTGAGTGAGATCTGGGTGTCCAAGTACCAGAGGGGGCCTCACCCTACTGAGGTCTGGCTGCCAACCTTGCTCTGCTGGATGGGAACAGCGCATATGCTCACGGAGGAGTTGGCCATTTGGGGATTTCTGCTCTTCCCTCACTAACCCCACAGGAAACCTGAGGCAAGGCTGTGAGAGGTGGTGCGGCTGACAAGGTAGCCTGGCCTCGTCTGGCCTAGCGCAAAGATGGGAACAGGAAGGGTGGAGGAGTCTGCATCCCAACAGGAAGGGATGGAGGGTGGAGAGACGTGGGGGGGATGAGAGAAGAGGAGACACACGAACATGGGGTGCAGCAAACGTGCCCCCCACGGTGACTGGCCAGTCAAGGGGGGAACCAGCGGCCTCTCTCGTTGCCTCAGTGCCCCTTCGCTGCCTCAGACACGCAGCCCCCTGCACAGCAGGCCCCCAAGTGTGCTAAGGACCCACACGGAAGAAGGTCTGCAGACAGGGTCTGAGGCCGTGCGGAGCAGGAGCCCCCACCGGAGCCCCAGCTCACTGCCCACCTGCTGGTCGGAGAGGAAGCAAGGGGTGCAGGCAACACACAGCACTGCAGGCTCAGATTCACAGCAAAAGCCCCCCTCAGCCTGGGAGGCCCAGACTGCCCACAAGGTGCTGGCAGGGGCGCTCCCCTCCCCCATCCCAAAGGCTCTCTCTAAGCCGCTCCACTGGAAAGATTCTTTAATCAGGACACATGAAGCACATTCCATTCCGTGCTGCTTCTCTTTCCAGCTAAGGATTCAAAGCAGGAAGGGACCCCCAGGACGAGAAAGAGTGAGACTGGGGAATGAGTTCAGTCCTAGCACAGTCACCTTCCTATCCCACACCCCTGAGGCTTGCCTAGGCCCCCATCACCTTTCTCATGGATGTCACTGATCCCCTGGGATGGTCCTCACCCCCTATACTAAGTAACCAAGTAACGTCCTTCAAGGCACAGCCCCGGGGGCGAGTCCCCTGCTAACAAAGCCATTGAATGCTCCCTGTGCCTGTTGATAAGTCCCAAGCTCTGGCCTCTGTGTGCCTGGGCAGGGGGATCATGCCAGGCTGTGACTTCCTGCCTTTGCTCCTGCCCCTGCTGGGATGGAAGCTGCTCCCTCAGCCCTCCTGGGCAGAGCCCTTGGAGCCTGCAGGGCCTGTCTCAAACACCACCTCCTCCAGGGCTCCCACCAAGTCCCCTGGAGGATGCACTGTGTCTCCCTGATGGCGCTGCCCTTCGTGCTGCAAGCCATGTGCTTCGATGTCACCATTGCGCCCCACAATGGCCAGGCCCCGCACCTGCCACATAGACCAGTCACTGAATATCTGCAGGGCTGAGCCAGTACTCTTTCTCTTTGCCCAGGTTAAGAGAACGGGCACCACCCACACCCCGACAACCATAGAAAACCCCTATCACAAGCCCAACACCCCACCAAAGTCCCCAGCACACCTGCACCTGCCCAGCAGCACACAGTTGCTGACGTGATTAGAGTCAGCACCACCTGATTTATGACTAAGCAAATGGCCACACTGTGGGGAGGATGGAAGCAGGGGTGGGGCTGCCATTCCTTGCACAGCCAAAGGTCATGGGGGACTCACTCTGACTCCTCACAAACACAGCAAGAAAGGCTGCTTTCACCCAGCCTTGTGGGCATGGGGCGCACAGACACGCACCCTCCTCCAGGCCACAGCTCTGCATTTTGGGTCCCTGAGCCATCCCAGTAGGGTGTCAAATCCCTCTCCTGTTCTTACTCCGCTCAAACTGCTTCCCAGGCCAGCAGGGAGGTGAACCACGCTGACCCAGGTAGTTCTGTTTAGGTCTTGTGCCCCAACAGTGGGCAAGATGATGCCCTCTGTGACCAAAAGTATTTACCCCAAGTTCCCCCAGGCCCTCCCTTCTGTGTCCCATTAGCAACTTTGCCCATCAGGCTCAGCTGCTGGCCAGGCCTGGCCTCCTTGGCATGAGCTGGGGCAGAGCTGCACACGGTACACACTTCACTGCAATAAACACAGCTTTCATCCCCTATTCAGGTCAACCAATAATGCTCAGCTAGAGACACTGACCAAATTCACAGAGGGATTATGCCTACAAATCCACGGATAAGTCAGCGGTTTAGAAAAAGAACATCTCCCCAGAGAACCAGTGCTCCATGGGCAAGGTAAGGATCCTGAGTGAGCCAAAAAAAGCTCTGCCGTGCACTCTGGACTTGAAGCACAGAGCCCTGAACACTGTACCCAAAGAATGAAAGAGGGTGCTAGTCAGGTTGAGCCCTTCTTGGAAGGCCCAGACCACATCTCCTTCCCCTAGTCGGTCAGTGATATCCCTGCCCTGCCCCCTGGGGGGTTTGAGGAGACCCTCCTCCCTTCAGCCCAGCTTGGTGGTTGTGGGCAGACTAGCAAGGGCTGGGATCTGGGAACCATCAGAGCTTGCCAGCCCCAAAGCCTTTAGTCCACATAGCTTCTTTCCATCAGCAGACCTGCAGCCTACCCTCCCAGGGTGTGGCCTATCCTGGCAACCAGAACACCTGCACATGGCTCACCGCCCTCCAAGGCTCCCCTATCCCCGTGCCGCGTTAGGGCAACCCTGAGGTCCCGAAGGATTCTGACTCATCAGAATGCAGTCCCTGACTTCAGCTCACACCCACCTCCCACCGCAGGGAGGGCCAGGCCTTACTCAGCCTGTCTCTGACAGAGCAAGAGACAGCTGGCCGTGAACTTAGGACAGTCCTGCCAGAGCAGGCTCCACTTCCTGAGCAGTGCCCTGGGGTAAAGCAAGAGGCTGCACTGCGAAGAGGGGAGAGGAGCAGGAAAGGAGAGGAAAAGACAAGCTTGCAGGAGGAGGTAGGAAGGTAGATAAGGATGTTTCTCTTCCTTCCTGTGCCAGCTCCACGTCCATTTAAGCTGGTGGCTGGAAATGCAGAAGTGAACAAGCCAAAGCCCTGGCATCAAGGAGGAAGCACCGTGGGAAAAAGACATAGAAACAAAAAGGACAAACTGGAATAAAGGCCACACTGGAAGGATGAAAACAAGGTGGGAATTCAGAGAACAATGAAGGGCTCCACAGAGTCGGGAGGGCAGGACAAGCTGGGCCTGGAGGATGAGCTGTTGTGTGCCAGGCGGGTTGAGGGAAGACACACAAGAAGGTAGACAGCGGGCCCTTGGGAGTGAGGCCAGGGAAGGCAGGAGACAGGGCTCAGAGGCATGGCTGGAGATGGAAGTGGGGCAGAGAGCAAGGGCAAGCCTAAATGCTGGGTGCAGCCTGGTGTGTAAAAAGGGAGGAGAGCTGCAGTGTGGCTCACCCTGAGGAGGGTGTGGAAGTAGAAAGATGGCACTGGGTGTGGGGCACAAAGTGAGTCCAAGAGCAGTGCCCTGGAGGCAGGGAAGCCAACGGGGAGCCTGGTGGGACACTCTGGTCTGAACGTAAGGAATAGGGGCACAGAGGGGTGCTGGGGAGCGAGCATGACTTGCCAAGGGGGCAGGGGAAGGAGAGTGAGGCTGAGTTTCCAGCTTGGACAACTGGGTAGGGGAAGGTGGCGGTGGTGCCATTCACCAAGAGAGGAAATGACTGGGAGGAACACTGAGGGGTGGGGACCAACGGCCACTAGGACATTCCCGTGCCTCCATTCTGTCCTTGCCAACAGCCCTAGGCAAACGGCGCAGCTCAATGCCTTCTGCGCTCAATGCCTTCTGGGGGCTTTGGCATCCCCCATTAGTACCCCAATCTCACCTGCATCCAAACGTTGTCTGTAGCAAAGTAGTGATTCCCACACAGAAGAAAATGGTCCCAATGAGCTGGCTGGTGGCCCACTGGTCGTACCCCACACACATGGCATCGGCCAACAGGAAGGGCACTGCGATCGTGCCGCTGAAGCATGTCAGGTAGTGCTGTGGGCAGGAAAAGGGTCAGAGGAGAAACAGTAAACCCTTCCTCATTTATTCTTGATTTCATCCTAATTCTTCTCTCTTATTGTCGTTAAAAAATAGCCCACATAAAGAATCTCCTTGGTTTTTCGACCAAGCCATACTTTTTTCCTTCTTTTTCAGTATTTCTCCTTTGTTGTTAAGACAGTTTCACTCCCATTGCCCTCGACGGAGTGCAATGGTGCGATCTTGGCTCACTGTGACCTCCACCTCCCAGGCTCAAGCAATTCTCCTGCTTCAACCTCCCAAATAGCTGGGATTACAGGGGCGCACCACCACGCCCAGCTTATTTTTGTATTTTTTGTAGCGATGGGTTTTCACCGTGTTGGCAAAGCTGGTGTCAAACACCTGGGCTCAAGCGATCCGCCTGCCTCTCCCTCTCCAAAGTGCTGGGATTACAGGCGTGAGCCACCACGCCCAGCTGCATTTCTCCTTTTCATTACATTTTATTGTCTTACTATTCACTGTCATTATTACTTATTACTTGGATGAATCCATGCCTCACAAAGGAAACAGTCAATATCAGCACTGGTGATATTTTACTTATGTAATTCTTATTAGAAATATTTGGGTTTCTTCCCCAAAATGCTTTTCTGGCATAAATTGCTAAAACCATAAGGCCTTTCTCCTCTAATCTGTTATCATGAATTGTGATGTGCTGAACTATTCTTGCATGCTTGAAACAAACCCTAGTTAGTCATACTGTATTTTTCTTCTGGGATTTGATTTGCTAATATTTTATACAGAATTTTGCATCTACATTTCTAGGTTAATTAGTCTATTTCTTTAAAAAAGTTCTTTCATGTCTGGGGATTAAAGTTACATAAGCTTCATAAGTTACATACGCATGGAGTGTTTTCTGTCTTTTTCTGTGAGCTGGCATTGTTTTCGAAAACAAAGAATTCGTCTGTTCCAGTCAGGGCAGGGTTAAGGGCGTACAGTAGCCATGGGAATCTTCCAGAAAGAACCCCATCCCACTTTCCTTTGGGAGTCCCCCCAACCCCCCGCCACACCTGTAGCCCTGGTAGGATAGTCCCAGCACTCACGACTCACTTCCCTCCCTTCCCCTGTTGACCAGTTCTTATTTCTGTTCTGCAAACTTCCTACTTTTCTTCCAGCAGCTTCCCATTCCTGCCCACGTTAGCCAAACATGCCACATGCAGCCCATGAAGCCCGACTGTAAAGGAGTTTCCTGGGGTGAAATACTCCTGTTCAGGATGTCTCAGGGCTGCTCACAACTTTATGTACTCTGAATCGTCAGGAAGGGCATGATGCAGGCAGGGTTTCCCACTCCTATCTGACCAGGGAAGACTGCTGGGAACATTTATAAGATAAACATTCCAAAAAGTGTCCTTCCTGAATCTGGTTCAGAATGCTCAGCCCAAGGTAGACTAGTTGCCGAGGCCACTCAGCTCCTTTTGCTCTGACTCCTCCCCTACTCAACAGACACCTGCCAGTCGGGGTTACCATGGGCTGTGATACCTGAAACGGGGTGAGGGAAGGGCGGGGCAACTGGAAACTCAACCAAAGTACCCAGCTGTTGGCAGCCCCACCCCAGGGTGAATCAACCTCTCTGGACAATGAGATGGATTTTCTCGGCACCTGAGATACCTTAGGTTGAACTGACCACACAAACTTGAGAAGGGAAAAATGCTAAGTCCGACCTCAGAACAGAGTCCAAGTTAAAACCAAAGCATATTCAGTCCAGGAGTGTGCATTTAAGAAAAGACCCTCCCCACGTTGTCCCCTTTCTCCAAAACGTCCCGCGTTCATCCTATGAAAGGGAAAAGGGTGCTGAAGACAGAGGAGGGAAGTATCAAAGACGCCGGAGGCCTCCATCAGCTATGTCACCACCCACCTTGTCCCTGAGCCCGGCTGCCCTCCCCTCCCACTGGAAGCTGCAGCAGACAAAGCTGCTGCTACCATGGCAAGTTTCCCTTCCTTTAAAAAATAAGACTGAAAACCTACCATTTAGGTCCTGGCCAACATGGCACTTTTCCGGGTAGCTCCTGTTTCATGGCAGAGGTTACCATGATTGTGGGTGGGTTAACTAGGCCAGGAATGGGAGATGAAAATTAATTTCTCTTTTCTCTATTCTTCAACTTTTCTCCTTTCTCTATTCTTCCTTCTTTCTATAACTCTATTTCCTTTCCCTTCCTTTATGTCACTGCTCTTGCTTGTGCCCTGAACATCTTCTTTCTTTTCCCTGGTAATCCATTCTACCTGTTCTTTTCTTCCTCCTGCTGTGATGTCAACAATTCCCATTCATCATTTGTTTTTTGAGACAGGGTCTCACTATGTCAACCAGGCTGAAGTGGAGTGGTGTGATCACAGCTCACTGCAACCTCAACCTCAAGCGATCCTCCTGCCTCAGCCTCTTGAGTAGCTGGGACTGTGGGCACACACCACCACACATGGCTAATTTTTGTATTTTTTGTAGAGATGGACTTTTGCCATGTTACCCAGGCTGGTCTTGAGCTCCTAGGCTCCAGTGATCTGCCCACCTCAGCCTCCAAAACTGCTAGGATTACAGGCATCAGCCACTGTGCTCAGCCCCTACTCATCACTCTTAAAAGAGGAATTTATAAAAGTCTTCAATAAACAAAAACCAAAGTGGAATTTTTAAACAATTCCAGATGGTAGACAATGCAAACACCTGCTGGTAGTTACACATCCTACAGGAACCATCTTACCTGTAGCCCCAGAAATATACACAGGTACCAGGGAGGAACATCTTCTATGGTATAAATCATGTCTGATCGCTGGGGGTCCAGACTGCCAGTGCTATCCAGGGTCTCAGCGAGAGAGCTCTGCGAGCCAGAAGGAGAAAAGAAGGTGCTCATTAAACGTGAAGACCAGTGTTAGCTCGGCCATGTACAGGCCACTATTACAGAAAAACAACTTTATCAAGTGGTTGCCATCTTCCTGCAGTTTTGAGCCTTGGCTATCTTTGAAGCCAAGTATTCTCTTTGGCTCAAGTACAGTCGCCCACCGGGATGGTCAATCCTCAGAATTTGGGGGGTCAGCGTCCTTGGGCAACATCTCATCCCTGAGAACACCAAACTTGCTCAGAGCTTCTCCCCAGGCCTGGGGATCCTCCTGCATGGACAGAGATGTTCCCAGGTTGAGACCACAAAATGATACCTTGGCACGAGCAGTCCTTGCGTGAGACCCCAGATGAAAAAAATCTTAGAAAATTTTAACCACTTTCAAAGAGACAGCACACTGATCTGCCCCTCCCAGCCCACTTCATCCCTGCAAGTAAAAAGGATCTTTGTACTTTAAAATTCTACACCCTCCTATCCAAACACTATTGCTCAGATAACGTTAGGTGAAAAGAGTAATTCTAAAGTATATAAACACGGTGATTTGAATTCTGTTTAAAAAACAAAACATTAAAAATGTATTCATAGTTTAGGTGACAGGTTTTTTCTTCTTTTTCTCCTAACACTAGTAAAAAAAATATTTTAAAACATTAAGTGTGGCATGGTTTTTTAAGCAAAAATCATCATAAAGACCAGTCACTTTAGGTTAGAGTCCAGCCTCTTCCAATCACCCCCAGCATCAGTTCTGAACTCATGCAGTATCTGAGCCAAACAGAAAACTCAAGGTAGCCCCGAGTTCCCCAGGAGAACCTCAAAACTGCTCTGGTTTCAAACACCACACAAATAATCTTTCCTTGGAATTTCTACAATCATTTCTTGGAATCCAAGATATGTATCTCATTTTAAGAAATGTTTTATAACCTAGCAAACAAAGTGTTTAACAGGAAACAAAATGAAGAGATATCCACATGGAAAAATGCTGATTCCATGTGTTCCACCCACATGGAGGCAACAGGGGTTTGGGGTTTGGGGCCCAATACCCTTAAACAAAAGAAGGGACACAGTTCACCCTCACCTTTCACAGCCAGAAGGTAAATGTCTGATGGAAGCTGACATCTCATCTAATCCAAATGTAACTGAATATGACCTTTTGGGTAAAACTTTCTCTTCCGTCCTAACAAGGGATACTGGCAAATTTACATTGTGTTGAATTTGTTACAATGGATTATGGATGTCTTTAAAAACTTGTTGGGAGAAATGGTAGAAAAAGTACGTATGTGTCTGAGGGGTGTAGCATGTAGTGATGTACAATAAAGATTAACTCAGCAGGTCTGGGTTGTCCAAACCCCGCACATTTCAAAGAAAGGGTTGAGTCTTGCCTGGTACGTGGGGGATAACCTGAGCTCTTGGGGTTTCTGCCTCTTAAACATGTCTTTTTAGGCCCAGTGCAGTGGCTCACACCTGTGGTCCCAGCACCATGGGATGCTAAGGTGTGAGGATCACTTGAGGCCAGGGTTCAAGAACAGCCTGGGCAACATAGTGAGGCCTCTTCTCTAGTTTATACATATTTTTTTACCTGAAACTTGGCCACACAGTGTCAGCTTGACCTCTGGAGGGGCTGGTGAGTAATTAAAGTTAGCCACATAGGCAGTCAGCCATACCTATACGACAGATCCCCAATTAAAAACCCTGGACACCAAGGCTTGGATGAGCTTCCCTGGCTGAATGGGTGTTATCACATATCACTGCTGGGAAAACTGAACACTGCCTGCATGACTCCACTGGGAGAGGATGGCTGCAAGCCTGTGCCTGGTGTCTCCTAGACCCTGCCTATGTGCCTTTTTCCATTGTTGATTTTAATCTGTATCCTTTCTCTGAAGAAAAAAACAAACAAAAAAAAAACCCTTAACTGTGAGTAAAACAGCTCTGCTGAATTCTCTGAGTCTTTCTCATAAATCACAGAACCTGATTTGGGAACTTCTGAACTGAGGGCACCATTTTGCTAACGTGATGGAATTACAGACCTGGGGCTCACTACACAAAGGTCAGCTCAACAGCACCGCGTCAGCTACAGCCACACAGGTGGTGCTGCTGCTCACAAAGTAACATGACAAAGTATTTCATAACAAAGAGAAATGTCTGAAGACAGAATACATAACCCTATCATAGACTAGTACAACCTGTTATACAGTAATGTAAGCAACATTTTTCTAACAATTCCAAAACCACTAGTGTTAATTATAAGGCAGATGAAAAGACTTTTTGGCTAGGTGCAGTGGCTCACATCTGTAATTCCAGCACCTGCCAAGGCAGGTAGATCACCTGAGGTCAGGAGTTCAAGATTAGCCTAGCCAACATGGTGAAACCCTGTCTCTACTAAAAATACAAAAATTAGCTGGGCGTGGTGGCGTGCACCTGTAATCCCAGCTATTCCGGAGGCTGAGGCAGGAGAATTGCTTGAACCTAGGAGACAGAGGTTGCAGTAAGCCAAGATCACACCACTGCACTCTGGCCTGGGCAACAGAGAGAGATTCTGTCACAAAAAAAAAAAAAAAAAAAAAAGCAAGACTTTTCGCATCCAGGCAGAGGTTAAGATGTACACACAGGCGCATGTATGCACATGCACACACACAAGCTTTTCTTAGTAATGAGGGTAGCCCTACAACTCAGAAACAAAACTAGTGTAAAGGTCCACAACTGGTACTAAAATGATACAGGAGGGGGCTGTGTGGTCAAGAGGATCAGACAACACTGTGAGGCAGACGCTGTGCCCCCCCTCCTGATGACAGAAGGACCACTCTGGCCATTGTGCACTCTACGCACTGTGGCGCCACACTCAGTGATCACTGTAAACTATGAGCTATTTTAAATACTGCAAAAACAAAAACCTCTAATAAGGTTTCTGTAAAAGATGACTACATAAATAATTACGTCACTTTACAAAGACTTTCCATCTTATTCTATGGTCCAAAATAATCTAAAGAACAAAAAAACTGCCTGTGCTCCAAAGACTAGAGTGAACTCAGAACGCTGTTCTCTGCCTGGAGCCTTCTTAACATTTTTAATAACCTTTGCTATCTCCTCTGCGGTTATTTATCTAGTCTAGCACCTTTGGGGTCGATTGTAGTCTCTTTCTCTAGGAAATCATTTCTTCTGCAGCACAGTCAGCACATATTTTTTATAAAGGACCATACAGTAAATATTTCAAGCTTTGGGAGCCACATGGTTCTGTCACTGTAGCATGGATGCAGCCTTAGGCAATAGGTAAACAAAGAAATGTGGCTGTGTTCCAGCAAAACTCTACTGAGAAGAACAGATATTAAACCAAATTTGGCTTGCCAACCCCCGCTGTAGCGTTTCAAACTGATTATCATAAAGTAGCATGTATTATTCTCTTGTACATTTCTCCTTTTTACTATACTAATGTATATGTGTGCTTTCTATTTTTTTTCTCTTGATCAGGGCCACAACAGATCAGTTTTGGCCAGGCATGGTGGCTCATGTCTATAATTCCAGCACTTTGGGAGACCAAGGTCGGCAGACTGCTTGAGCTCAGGAGTTCGAGACCAGTCTGGGCAACAGACAGAGACCCTGTCTCCAAAAACAAACAAACAAAAATTAGCTGGGTGTGGTGGCACATGCCAGTGATCACCCGCTCAGGAGTCTGAGGTAGGAGCATCACTTGAGCCTGAGAGGTTGCGGCTGCAGTGAGCTGTGATCATGCCACTGCACTCCAGCCTAGGCAACAGAGATCTTGTCTCAAAAAAAACAGAACAGGCTGGTAGCTCACGTCTGTAATCCCAGCACTTTGGGAGGCCAAGGCAGGCCAATCACTTGAGGTCAGCCTGGCCAACATGGTGAAACCCTGAAACCCTGTCTCTACTGAAAATACAAAAATTGGCTGGGTGTGGTGGCGTACACCTGTAGTCCCAGCTACTTGGGAGGCTGAGGCAGGAGAATCGCTTCAACCCAGGAGGCAGAGGCTGCAGTGAGCCAAGATCGTGCCACTGCACTCCAGCCTGGGTGACAGAGTGACACTCTGTCTCAAAAAAACAAAACAAAACAACAAAAAACCAAAAAACAAAAAACCCAAAAAGATCAATTTCATTATTCTTTTCAACAAGCCAGCTTTTGAGTTCTAGTTAAGCATGGTAGATTGACCACATGTGTCTTTTCTTCTAAGTCCTAAAAACAGGAGGAATAAATATGATACTCATCAACAAGGACAAAGCAAAGAGGAGATCAAGAAAAAGAGATTAATATTTTTTTTAATATGGAAATTGTTTGGATGATTTGTGACCAATTTGGGAGAGGGAAGGAATGCACAAGCTGGGTGCTCATAGAAGGATGCTGTGAAGAGGTGGGCTGGCTGACCAGCAGGACCCCAGAAAGTGCTATGCTTGGAAGCACTAGACAGAGTAGCAATGGGGAGAGGACAGGTCTTAACTCCGCAAACTGGTCAGACAGTGTGTTAACTACTGCTATCCTCCTCCTTCAAGAAACAAATATGTATGGTTTGAAGAATATAAATTGGAAAGCCCTCAGGCTGAGGAATACCACACAGCGATCAAGGAAAACAGCAGCAGCAGGATACTCATCTGCTTCCAGAATGCCAGAAACCAGGTCACAGAAGCCAGACTTATACCCACAGGAGACCACACGATTCCTTTCTAGAGAAAGTTGATCAGCCCCAAAGACAAGATAGTGACATCTATAGATCCCACAGAGACAACACGGCTTTCCACCTGGTCACTCAAGGGCAGGCCCACGATTAGATAAACTTCATCACACACAAAGACCTCACAATCCTATCTTTTATTGCCTCCTATCCTGGAACAGTGAAGAAAGACTAAAAAAATGAAGGCAAAGAAACAGAAAATATAATCAATGTAGTATTTTTTAAAAAGCTTAAAAAAAAACTATCTTCAGAAAAATAAAGTTACTTCAATTGTGGGAGACAAAGAATGCTTTTTAAAGACTTTAACCAGTAAACAAAACCAAAAAACAATAAAAGAGGTCTCAGAAATTAAGCACAGGATAGTTTTTTAAAACTCAACAGAAGGGCTGGAAGTCAAAGGTAGCTCTCAAAAATAAGAAAAAGACAAATATAGGTAAGAGTTAAGTGTTAAATGTCAGAACAAGGAAAAAAGAATATAGAAATTAACCAAAGAAATAAGAAAAATTTAAGAAATAAAGGACATGTTAACAAATTAGAAGGATACTACAGTATTCAATGGATTAATGAAAAAATGCATTTTGAAAATAAAACAATCATTCTTACTAAGGAAGGCCTTAAAATTCAAACAGACATTTAAGGGAAACTGGAAATAAACATGAGTTTACATAATTTGGCCAGATGGAAAGGAAAAAAAATACAAAAAACTATGAAAGTGTGAGGAGCACAAGGAAGAACAGATAAGCTGCAAAACAGAGTAAGTGTCAGAGACTAGAATGAAAAAGCTCCGTGCTAAGAGGAAAAAAAAGATTAAAGAGAACTGATAGCTGGAGGAGGCAGGCAAAGAACAAACAAAACATGCATAATTGCAGCTCCCAAATCAGAAACCAAAAGAATAGACTGGAATTAATATTTAAAGATACAATTCCTGAGATAATAGCAGCCTCAAAGCTAAATATTGAAAATGCCAGGAAAAACTGGCCCAGAAAAGGATATACACATGGGTCTTGAGCATGTGTAAAGAGATGCAGCCTCACTAATGAAAAATCAGGATAAAACTACAGTGACGAACCTAAGCTGAGAGAGATTCTACAAAGTAAACTGGCTTGTACCATGTTACATTAACAACGAAAAATTGTTCCAGATTAAAGGAGACTAAAGATATACCTAAAAAGTAAATGCCTCAACAGCCCCTGATTTGATTCCTGGACCAAAACTTTTAAAATTAATTAACTTATTTATTTATTTTACAATAATGAACATTATTTGGACAACTGAGGAAATGTGAATAAAGCTTGTAGATATTAAATATTTTAAAATTGGGATTAAGTAATAAAATCAATTAGGTATTGTATGACTAATAATTTAATTCATCAGTGTTAAGAATTGTACTGTAGGGACCGGGTGTGGTGGCTCATGCCTGTAATCCCAGCACTTTGGGAGGCCGAAGCAGGTAGATTCCTTGAAGCCAGAGTTCCAGGCCAGCCTGGTCAACATGGCAAAACCCCGTCTCTACTAAAAATAGAAAAATTAGCCAGGTGTGGTGGTGCACGCCTGTGATCCCAGCTACTTGGGAGGCTCAGGCTGAGGTATGAGAATTGCTTGAAACTGGGGGGCGGAGGTTGCAGTGAGCTGAGATTGTGCCACTGCATTCCAGCCTGAATGACAGAGCAAGACTATCTCAAAAAACATTGTACTGAAGTTATAAAACAAAGAGAATGTCTTTGTTTTAAGGAAATACACATGCAGTATTTTCCCTAAATAAAGAGGCATTATGTCTGTGAGATTTGAACAGCTCAAAAATAATAATATGCCTACAAGAAGGATGAAGAAAATACAGTAAAATGTTAACATCTGGGGCATCTGTTTGTGTGTACCTATGTGGAAAGTGGTATGGAATATACATACAGGTTGAAAATGCTTGGAACCCAAATGTTTTGGATTTCAGATTTTTTTGGGATTTTGAAATACTTACTGGTTGCGCATCACAATCCCAAAACTCAAATCCAAAATGCTCCAATGAGCAAGCATTTCCTTTGAGCATCATGTCGGTGCTCAAAAAATTTCAGATATTGGAACATTGCAGATTTCAGATCTCAGTTTTAGGACGGTTACTCTACATCAGGTTGCCAGCCGCTGGTTACGTAGAATATATAAAGAACGTAGGGGGCACATTTTCAACTTTCTCCATTTTTTGGACTGTTTACTATTAGACAATCATGTTAAAATGAATGTCATTTTTTTTTTGGAACAACTAGTCCTTTAACAAAAGATAGCTTAAAGAGAATCCACAGGGATCAAGTCAGAAAAGGTCTCTTTTGTTTTGAGACAGTCTCACTTTGTCACTCAGGTTGGAGTGCAGTAGTGCTATCTTGGCTCACTACAACCTCTGCCTCCTGGATTCAAGCAATTCTCTTGCCTCAGCCTCCCAAGTAGCTGGGATTACAGGCGAATGTCATGAAGCCCGGCTAAATTTTTTTGTATTTTTAGTAGAGACGGGGTTTCACCATGTTGCCCAGGCTAGTCTCAAACTCCTGAGCTCAGGCAATCCACCCACCTTGGCCTCCCAAAGTGCTGGCATTACATGCATGAGCCACCCACCTGGACCAAGTCAGAAAAGGTCTCTAACAAAAAAAAGTAGATCTCAAAGTTACAGAAGACAAGTTTATTTTATCTTGTATTTAATATGATAATTGCAACTAAGCATTTGAAACAACGGGCAGCAAAAGGCCCAGTGGCACACAGGGCAGCACATCCAGTGCAGGCTCTTTAATAACCAGCTTACATGCCACTCTGCTCACACTGGGGCAATCCGGCTTCCTGAGAGCCTTCCACTACTTTTGGCCGGGTATGGTGGCTCACGCCTGTAATCTGAGCACTTTGGGAGGCCAAGGCGGATAAATCACCTGAGGTCAGGAGTTTGAGACCAGCCTGACCAACATGGTAAATCCCCAACTTTACTAAAAATACAAAAAAAAATTAGCCTGGTATGATGGCGTGCGCCTCTGGTCCCAGCTACTCAGGAGGCTGAGGTAGGAGAATCGCTTGAACCAGGGAGGCAGAGATTGTAGCGAGCAGAGACTGGGCCACTCCACTTCAGCCTGGGTGACAGAGTGAGACTCTGTCTCAAGAAAAAAAAAAAAAAACAGCCCGCTGAGGGTCTGGCTTAATGACTAGCATTTTATTTATTTACTTTTTTTGAGACAGAGTCTCACTCTGTCATACAGGCTGGAGGGCAGTGGTGCCATCTCAGCTCACTGCAACCTCTGCCTCCTGGGTTCAGGTGATTCTCCTGCCTCAGCCTCCCAAATAGCTGCAACCCAACCACAGGCGTGTGACACCCCTCCTGGCTAATTTTTGTGTCTTTAGTAGAGACGGGGTTTCGCCATGTTGGCCAGGCTGGTCTTGAACTCCTGACCTCAAGTGATCCACCCATCTCGGCCTCCCAAAGTGCTGTGATTGCAGGCATGAGCCACCACGCCCAGCCCAACTAGCACTATTTAATATGTAGCAGCTCTTCTCACTGCCCTCCTCATTTCATAAAGTAAGAAAAATGGCCAGGAAAATATTAAGATACTCCATTTCATTGGTATTCAAGGAAATACAAATGTATCAATGTTTAGACAATGAAAAAATGTTCACCCAAACAGGAAAATGAACATCTAGCATAAATGTGCTAGAGACATTTTTCCTACAACTGGATCCCTCCCATCAGTAAAAGGTAAAGCTAAGCCCCAAAGTGTTAATGCTCATCACTATTTATTTCTAAAGACGATCTCCAGACAGAGAAGGAGGAAGTCTGAAAACATGACAGCCTGGAATCATGGCATAGAGGATTATATGTGGCCCACCAAGTCTGTGAAGAAGCCCTTTGTTACAAGATGGACCGTGTGAAAGCTGCGGCCCGGCAGTGTGGGATGTGCCTCAGCTGCAGACCACAGGCACCAATCCACATGCCAAACACCACTGCACTAACCTTTGGGGAGCAGCTTGGAACCCCGCACTTCTGGAATTTCAGTATCTCTGCCTGAATCTACTTTAATTAACCTCCATAAAATTTATAATAGCTCCAAGCAGCAGGAAAATAATAACAATATTGGTTGAGAGGCAAAAATGAAATTTCCATATCCCAGACTGGAATTTTGTTTAAAAGGGCATAAAATTTGGTTATTTCAGAATTTCAATACAATTTATTTGTTCTTAATCACTTTAGTGATTACACTGTGAACTCACCATGCTAATACCCAACTCAGGTACTATATTTGTATGTGTCAACTTCTGGGTGGTCTGTTATTAGAATACATAGTATACACTGTCTACAGTATAATACAGTGGTTCCAGAATAGAATTTCTCATTACATAAATTGTTTAGTTTCTTATTATGTCAGCTGAAAATTAGTAAATTTTCATAGTATAAATAAAACCTGTGTTTAAAATCTATCAAGTAAAACTCAAATGAAAGCCTCAGAGCTGCGATACAATTTGGAGATATCAGATTATCTAACTTCTCATATGTTAGACATCATGGCAGATACAAAGAAAAAAAGAAATCGGGATATCTGGACCTACTTTATTTTATTTTTATTTATGAATTTATTTATTTATTTTTTTTAGAGACAGGGTCTTACTCTGTCTTCCCAGTTGGAGTACAGAAGCATGATCTTAGCTCACTGTAGCCTCAAACTCTTAGGCTCAAGCAATTCTCCTGCCCCTGAGTAGCTGCTACTATAGGCACACATCACCACACCTGGATAATTATTTCTTTTTTTTTTTTTTTGTAGAGACAGGATCTTGCTACGTTGCCCAGGCTGGTCTCAAACTCCTGGCCTCAAGCAATCTTCCCGCCTCAGCCTCCCAAAGTATTGGGATTATAGGTGTGAGCCACTGAGCCCAGATTGGAGCCGCTTTGGGCAACTTTATCCTGACCTCTATGGTCACAAAGTCTGACCATTCAAGGAGATGGAACGAGGCACAGAGCAAAACAAAAATAAACAAAAAAACCACAAACACGATTCTCCCCACCTTAGTGTGCCATTTCCATTGGCACACTAAGGTGCCAAAGGTGCTACGGTCAAAACTCAAAGGCATTTTCATAGGCTGCATAAACCACTTGCTGATTTCCCTTATTCTCTTATTTACTGCACATGTATCTGTAACAGGCACGATGCTAATAACTTCACATATCATTTCATTCAATCCACAAAACAACCAGATGTTGACATTTTTATTCCCATTTTAGAGACAGGGAACTGAGGCCCAGAGAACTTCTATAATTTCCTCAGTCTGACTCATATTTGCACCCAGACCTGATGCCAGACCTCAAGCTCTTAACCACTTCCCTCTGCCATCTTGGCTGAGGCCTTTTTAAATACCTGGATCCTCCTCTATGGTTCTCACCTTAAATGCCATTAAAACAATCAAAAAAAAAAAAAAAAAAAAACTAGTAACTTCTATTCCCTATGGCTCCTCCTACTTCCCTTATGAAGAGAACACAGCCCCTTGGGAGTCAGAGACCAAGCCCCAGACGAAGGACATGCAAGTGTCTGAAAGGGATCCGGATCCAGATCCGGGGCAGCACTTGTGGGAGGGGATGGCGGTGGGAGTGGGGACACGGGGTGACGGAAGGGGTACCTTTTCTGCAATGCCGTTTTCCGTAGTGTAGATCGCCATGAGCTCAGTGTCCTCATTGTCCTGCTCACCGCTGGAGGTGGCGCCTCCATTTATCACCACCTGCAGAGACAATCCACTTAGAGGCTGTTTCAGCGTGAACCACATTTTCCTCCCCCCGAAAGCCATTTGTAATTCTCCTGGTGAGTGCATGACCAGGCATGGTTTTGATGGAGAAACATACTCCATGTACCGTATGGGGAGGCTGCCTTAGCAGAAGGCTCAGCCGGGGAGAAAAGAAATAAAATCCCAGGGCAACCTCAGCAGGGGCACCCCCACATCCTTCAGGGGAAGGGAAGTTTGGCTCAGAGGCCCATGCTGTTTGTGGACGAGGCCCAGGCTGAACAGGTGAGAGTACCCTGAGCTGCCTCGGTTAAGATCCCTGCCCACATAACCACCTGAGGCCGACTTCCTGCACCTAGAAGGGGAAATGTTCTAGCTGGAGGAACTCAAGCTTTGCTGTTCACCTAAGTAAACCAGCCCACTGGAGAACACTCCTCGGTAAGGGGCCACACCATCGTCCCGGGTTCTGCCAGCCAGTAGCAAGAGCCATAAAATATTTTTACTTTTTAGCCAAACGGTTCCACTTCTAGGAATCTATACTGGAGAACAATAATGAGAACAAAAGCTTTAACCCAAAGAAAGTAATCACTGTTTATAATAACAAATAACTAGTTTTTGTTTTTTTAGGTTTTGTTGTTGTTGTTGTTGTTGTTTCGTTTTGTTTTTGAGACGATGTCGCGCTCTGTCGCCCAGGCTGGAATGCAATGGCGTGATCTCGGCTCACTGCAACCTCCGCCTCCCAGGTTCAAGCGATTCTCCTGCCTCAGCCTCCCGAGTAGCTGGAATTACAGGTGCCCACCACAACACCTGGCTAATTTTTATATTATTAGTAGAGACGGGGTTTCACCATGTTGGTCAGGCTGGTCTCGAACTCCTAACCTCAGGTGATCCACTCACCTCAGCCTCCCAAAGTGCTGGGATTATAGGCATGAGCCACCACACATGGCTCAAATAACTAGTTATAGGCCACTGACACCCAGAATACTACAAGGGAAAAGATTTTTACACAGAGTAATATCAAGGAAAATGCACATGTAATAAATATTAAGGTAACTGTATATATGGTTAACAGTGCAACTACATTTAAAAACTACAGATTTAAAAAGTATATTAAAAGTTCAAATTCTGGCATTGTGAAATACACTAAAAGCAAGCAGAAGACAAGTGATGGCCTAGGAGAAAATACAGTGCAGCAGATATAAAAAGGGTCAGTATCAATATGCGTAAAGAACACCTCAAACCAATAATAAAACCAAACGATCCAATTCATCCCTGAGAGGCCTAAGGAAAAAGGATGGAAAGGAAATGGGCAAGGGCTAGGAATATATCATTCATAGAAGAAAAACATATATACAATAAAACACATGAAAAGCTGTTCCATATCATTTTAAATTATGGAAATAATTATTAAAATTTTATTTTAAAAAAAACAAACTTAGAGGGAAACTTAAAAAACTGAACCAGGTATTGACCAAGGTATGGGGGAGAGTTACTCTCCTGTGTTCTTGGAGAGAACATGCTCTTGGTGGAATGGCCTTCATGGAGGGAAATTTGGCAATGGGATTTAAAACAGGTATTTCTGTGGATCCAGCAATTATACTCATAGAAGCTTATCCTCTAGAAATATCCATGCAGGTAATATATATATTCAAGGTTGATCACTGCTGTAATTTATGAAATACTGAATACTTGGGGACAACATAAATGTCCATCAAAAAGACACAGTTACATTATTATACACTCATTTAGAGGAGATAATCAGCCATTAAAAATAATAAAGCACTGGACACGGTGGCTCAGGACTGTAATCCTGGCACTTTGGAAGGCTGAGGCAGGCAGAT